>NC_000010.11:81203701-81355216 GCF_000001405.40 Homo sapiens | reverse complement strand
ATTTCTCTGATGGCCGGTGATGATGAGCATTTTTTCATGTGTCTGTTGGCTGCATAAATGTCTTCTTTTGAGAAGTGTCTGTTCATATCCTTCACCTACTTGTTGATGGAGTTGTTTGATTTTTTCTTGTAAATTTGTTTAAGTACTTTGTAGATTCTGGATATTAGCCCTTTGTCAGATGAGTAGATTGCAAAAATTTTCTCCCATTCTGTAGGTTGCCCATTCACTCTGATGGTAGTTTCTTTTGCTGTGCAGAAGCTCTTTAGTTTAATTAGATCCCATTTCCCAATTTTGGCCTTTGTTGCTGTTGCTTTTGGTGTTTTAGACATGAAGTCCTTGCCCATGCCTATGTCCTGAATGGTAATGCCTAGGTTTTCTTCTAGGGTTTTTATGGTTTTAGGTCTGACATTTAAGTCTATTTAAAAAATGGTGCTGAGAAAACTGGCTAGCCATATGTAGAAAGCTGAAACTGGATCCCTTCCTTACACCTTATACAAAAATTAATTCAAGATGGATTAATGACTTAAATGAGAGGAATGCTTAAGCCCAGCAGGTCAAGACTGCAGTGAGCCATGATCATGCCACTGCTTTCCATTCTGGGTGACACAGTGAGACCCTGTCTCAAAAAAAAAGGGGGGGGGTGGGGGAATGACCAATGTAGTTCGTTTTTGAAAATATTTTAAAAATTCTCGAACTTTTAGGTAGGCTAAGAAAAAAAAAGACTCAAATAAATAAAATTGTAAATGAAAGAGTAGACATAACACCTGATGGTAGCATAGAAATACAAAGGGACATGAGGCCTACTATGAATTGTTATATGCCAACAAATTAGATAAACTACAAAAAAATGGATAAATTCTGAGAAACGTATACAACCTACCAAGAGTGAACCATAAAAAATAGAACATATGAACAGACCAATAACGCATAAGCAGATTGAATCAATAATCTAACACCTCCCAATAAAGAGAAGCCCATGGCCCAGTGGTTTCACTGATGAATTATAACAATGTTTAAAAAAGAATTAATGTCTATTCTTTTCAAAATCTTCCAAAATATTAAAGAGAACAGGACATTTCAAAATTTATTCTATGAGGCCAGCATTACTTAGATAGCAAAGTTAGACAAGGAAACTATAAGAAAGATATTACAGGCTAGTATCCCTGACAAACGTAAATGCAAAAATCCTTTAAAAAACACAGGAAAATTGAATTCAATATTGCATTAAAAAGATTACACACCACAAACAAGTGTGATTTATCCCTGGGATACAAGGCTGTTTCAACTTATTTAAATTGATAATGTGACATATGTTAACAGAATGAGCAATAAAAATCATGTGATTATTTAAATAGATGGAGAAAAACATTTGAAATATTCAACATCTTTTGTTTTCCTTTTTTTTTATTATACTTTAAGTTCTAGGGTACATGTGCACAACGTGCAGGTTTGTTACATAGGTATACATGTGCCATGTTGGTGTGCTGCACCTATTAACTAGTCATTTACATTAAGTGTATCTCCTAATGCTATCCTCTCCCTTTCCCCCACCCCACGACAGGCCCCAGTGTGTGATGTTCCCCTTCCTGTGTCCAAGTGTTCTGATTGTTCAATTCCCACCTATGAGTGAAAACATGTGGTGTTTGGTTTTTTGTCCTTGAGATAGTTTGCTGAGAATGATGGTTTCCAGCTTCATCCATGTGCCTGCAAAGACTGGAGCTGTTCCTATTTGGCCATCTTGGAACTGCCCTCTCAACATCTTTTAATAATAAAAATTTTCAGTTAATTAAGTATGGAAAGAATGTACCACAACATAATAAATTCTGTATATGGCAAGGTCACAACTAACATCCTACTCAATGGCAGAAACGGTAAAAGCTTCTTCTCTAGTACTAGGACCAAAACAAAGATGCCCACACTCACCACTTCTATTCAAAATAGTACTAGAAGTCCTAGCCAGAGAAATTAGGCAAGAAAAAGAAATAAAAGACAACCAAATAGAAAAGGAGTAAAATTATCTCTGTTTTTTGATAACATAACCTTATAGAAGACCCTATAGAACCCACCAAAAAATGGTTAGAACTCATACATGAATTCAGTAAAGTTGTGAGTTATAAACTGCACATACAAAAATAAGTCACGTTTCTATGCACTAATAATAAACTCTCCAAAAAAGAAATTGAGAAAACAATCCCATTTACAATAGCATAAAAAATAAAACATTTAGAAATAAGTTGAACCAAGAGGGTGAAAAATCTATACATTGAAACTATAAAATATTGATGAAAGACATTGGAGTAGACACAAATAAATAGAAAAAAATTTTTATTCAAAGATTGGAAATATAAGAATGTTAAACGATTCTTACACCCAACACCTTCTACAGATTCAATTCCTATCAAAATTTCAATGGTTTTTTTTTTTTTTTTAACAGACACGGAAAAAACAACTCTAAAATTTGGGATGAAATTCCTGGATAGGAATTCCAGAGCAATTCCTATCAAAATTCTAGTTTTGATTTTACAGAAATGGAAAAAAAAATACAACCCTAAAATGTTTGTGGAACCACAAATGACCCCAAACAGTCAAAGTAATCTTGAGCAAAAGAAACAAAGCTGAAAGCATCACAATTCCTGAGTTTAGATAATATAACAAAGCTGTAGTAATAAAAAAATGGAATTAGCATAAAACAGACACATAGACCAATGAAACAGAATGATGAGCCCAGAAATAAACTCAGACATACACAGTAAACTAATTTTCAACATGGACATCAAGAATACATAATAGGGAAAAGATAGTCAATAAATGGTGTTAAAAACAGATAGCCACATACAAAAGAATTAAACTGAACACTTATTATACCATACACAAATATCGACTCAAAATGGATTGGAGAATTTAAACATAAGGTCTGAAACAGTAAAACTGCTAGAAGAAAACACAGAGTATAAGCTCCTTGATATTGGCCTTGGCAATATTATTATTATTATTATTATACTTTAAGTTTTAGGGTACATGTGCACAATGTGCAGGTTAGTTACATATGTATACATGTGCCATGCTGGTGTGCTGCACCCATTAACTCGTCATTTAGCATTACGTATATCTCCTAATGCTATCCCTCCCCCCTCCCCCACCCCACAACAGTCCCCAGAGTGTGATGTTCCCCTTCCTGTGTCCAAGTGTTCTCACTGTTCAATTCCCATTTATGAGTGAGAACACGCGGTGTTTGGTTTTTTGTCCTTGCGATAGTTTACTGAGAATGATGATTTCCAATTTCATCCATGTCCCTACAAAGGACATGAACTCATCATTTTTTATGGCTGCATAGTATTCCATGGTGTATATGTGCCACATTTTCTTAATCCAGTCTATCATTGTTGGACATTTAGGTTGGTTCCAAGTCTTTGCTATTGTGAATAGTGCCGCAATAAACATACGTGTGCATGTGTCTTTATAGCAGCATGATTTATAGTCCTTTGGTTATACACCCAGTAAAGGGATGGCTGGGTCAAATGGTATTTCTAGTTCTAGATCCCTGAGGAATCGCCACACTGACTTCCACAATGGTTGAACTAGTTTACGGTCCCACCAACAGTGTAAAAGTGTTCCTATTTCTCCACATCCTCTCCAGCACTTGTTGTTTCCTGACTTTTTAATGATTGCCATTCTAACTGGTGTGAGATGGTATCTCATTGTGGTTTTGATTTGCACTTCTCTGATGGCCAGTGATGATGAGCATTTTTTCATGTGTCTTTTGGCTGCATAAATGTCTTCTTTTGAGAAGTGTCTGTTCATATCCTTTGCCCACTTTTTGATGGGGTTGTTTGTTTTTTTCTTGTAAATTTGTTTGAGTTCATTGTAGATTCTGGATATTAGCCCTTTGTCAGATGAGTAGATTGCAAAAATTTTCTCCCATTTCGTAGGTTGCCTGTTCACTCTGATGGTAGTTTCTTTTGCTGTGCAGAAGCTCTTTAGTTTAATTAGATCCCATTTGTCAATTTTGGCTTTTGTTGCCATTGCTTTTGGTGTTTTAGACATGAAGTCCTTGCCCATGTCTATGTCCTGAATGGTATTGCCTAGGTTTTCTTCTAGGGTTTTTATGGTTTTAGGTCTAACGTTTAAGTCTTTAATCCATCTTGAATTAATTTTTGTATAAGGTGTAAGGAAGGGATCCAGTTTCAGCTTTCTACATATGGCTAGCCAGTTTTCCCAGCACCGTTTATTAAATAGGGAATCGTTTCCCCATTGCTTGTTTTTCTCAGGTTTGTCAAAGATCAGATAGTTGTAGATATGTGGCGTTATTTCTGAGGGCTCTGTTCTGTTCCATTGATCTATATCTCTGTTTTGGTACCAGTACCATGATGTTTTGGTTACTGTAGCCTTGTAGTATGGTTTGAAGTCAGGTAGCGTGATGCCTCCAGCTTTGTTCTTTTGGCTTAGGATTGACTTGGCGATGTGGGCTCTTTTTTGGTTCCATATGAACTTTAAAGTAGTTTTTTCCAATTCTGTGAAGAAAGTCATTGGTAGTTTGATGGGGATGGCATTGAATCTATAAATTACCTTGGGCAGTATGGCCATTTTCATGATATTGATTCTTCCTACCCATGAGCATGGAATATTCTTCCATTTGTTTATATCCTCTTTTATTTCATTGAGCAGTGGTTTGTAGTTCTCCTTGAAGAGGTCCTTCACATCCCTTGTAAGTTGGATTCCTAAGTGTTTTATTCTCTTTGAAGCAATTGTGAATGGGAGTTCACTCATGATTTGGCTCTCTGTTTGTCTGTTGTTGGTGTATAAGAATGCTTGTGATTTTTGTACATTGATTTTTGTATTTTTTTATATGACACCAAAAGCACAGACAACAAAAGCAAAAACATACAAGTATGATTACATCAAACTAAAAAGCCTCTGCACAGCAAGGAAAACAATAAAATGAAAAGTCAACGTACAAAATGGGAGAAAATATTTGCAAATCATATATCTGATAAGGGGTTAATATCCAAACTATGCAAGGAATTTATACAATTAAATAGCAAAAAAAAAAAAAAAAAATCAAACAAATAACCCATCTTAAAAATGATTGCAAAGGACCTGATCAGATATTTCTTTAAAAAGACATAAAAATTGTCAACAGGTATATAAAAATGTGCTCAATATAACTAATCATCAATGAAATGGAAATCACTGATATACTTTTACCTTACACCTGTTAGGATGGTTAGTATTTTTTGAAAAAAAGATAAGTGTTCGTGAGGAGGTAGAGAAAAAGAAGCCTTTGTACACTGTTGGCAGGAAGATAAATTGATACAGCTATTTTGAAAAACAGTATGGAAGTTTTTCAAAATGTTAAAAATAGAGCTACCATATGATCCAGCAATGTCATTACTGGGTGTATACATAAAGGAAATGAAATCAGTATGCTGAAGAGATAAAGAAACACTTCCATGTTTATTGTAGCATTATTCACCATAGCCAAGATATGGAATCAATCTAAATGCCCAATTACAGATGAATGGATACAGAAAATGTATTATATATATAAAATGGAATATTATTCAACCTTAGAAAAAAAGGAAATCCTATCATTTAGAAGAACATAAATGGACTTGGAGGGAAAGGAGCCCTGCAAATACAAACAAATGTATGATCTCACTTAGACGTGGAATCTAAAAAAGTCAAAGACATGGAAGCAAAGAAGAGAATGATGGTTACCAGGGGCTGGAGCGGGGAGGAAATGGAGAAGTCATGGTTAAAAGGTACAATGTTTCACTATCAGCAATGCCAGATAAAGTTCTGGAGATCTATAAAGCATAGTACATGTAAGCTAACAATACTGTAGTGTACAATTCAAATTCATAAGAGAGTAGACCTTCTGTTACATGTTCACACACAAAAAATAAAAAATAAGTATTAAAGAGGGCAGAAAGAAACTTTGGGAGGTGATGGATATGATTATGGCCTGGATGATGGTGATGGTTTCACGATTGTATACATACTCCCAAACTCATCTAGATATATACTTATATATGTACAACTGTTTATATGTCAATCATACCACAAGTGGTTTAAAAGAGAACCATTTTTAAAATAATTAACAATTATAATTTCAACCAGGCTTAATTATATATGTGTATATACTTATACATGTATATGTATTTATCCATACTGCATATGCATAAATTTATTTACAATATATATGTATTCATATATATGCAAATATATAACATAATTTGAACTCATTCATTTCATGATCAAATGGAATTCAAAAAATAAAATTGTCTAGAGACAATGTCACGATGGAACAAATTTCCAAGCATTGACGTAATAAAACCTAGTGCACTGAATGGAATGCAATTGCACGTAATTCATTCAATATCATACAATTTGTGTACAATAAAACTATATAAATAAAAGGCATACAATAAACACATGTTATTCACAATTTATTCACACCTTAAAGTGTATTATACAATGTAATCGACAGAATATACACATTATATTGGTAGCAAATTATCACACATGAAAACTCAAGGGCTTCAAACTAAAAAGCTTCTGCACAGTGGCATTTAGAAGTAAGTTAATACTTTAAAGTACATGTGTTAATAAAACAATTATATAAAAGGGGTAATATAACAAAACTAAGAAAAGTAAAAGGGAAGATGTAAAAATAAGTGTAAAATAGAAAATGAAATCAAGAAAAAAAAAGGGTGAACAAAGCCAAAAGAACTTATTCTTTGAGACCAGGCCATCCCTTTTCCCTCTCACTCCAACAAACCAATATCTGGCAATATTTATAAAGAAACAGGGAAACATCACAGATAGTTTGAACTAATTCAAAGGACATAACTACAGTCAAAAGTAAAGATTTTAAATATAACACAAGAATAGCAAAATAAAATATGTTGATATGCTTTAAAGCGATATAGTACTGAAATACACTAAGAAAATAAAAGTTGTAAATGAATTTAAAAATGACATCAAATTTGTGTCAGAATGATCCCTTCTAAAAGGCCACTAGATGGCTTTATACACAAGTTTGAGCAAATCTTCAAAGAACAAATAAACTGTTATGCAAGCTCTTTCAGAGAATAATGAACAACATTCTAATTAAAACACTTAGGAGGTTAATATAAACTAGATACCTAATTCTAAAAATGAAATTTCCAATTTTGAAAATATGGATTCATCTAACCTATAAAATATTTGCAATAGTAAATCAAACTCAGCAATGTAAAAAAATGCATACACAAGCAAAGATGTTTCAGCATTAGAAAGTGTTTAAGTACTAAATACCACATTGATAGATAAGATGTTGACTATCTTATGATAGCCTCAACATCTACCTATTATTATAGTTCTGTAACTATACACCAATGTGACTATCTTGAATACATAGAAATAGAGAATAGAAAGGTAGTTATCAGGGGTGGGGAGGATGGGAGAAATGGAGGAATTCATTGACTTAATGAATAAGCTGAGGGATCTAGTGTACAGCATGATAACTACATTTAATATTTTACTATATACTGAAATTTGTTGAGAGTAGAATTTAGATATCCTTATCACAAAATAGTTAACCATGTGTGATAATGAATATGTTAATTTATTTGACTGTAGTAACCACTTCATTGTGTATATGTGTATGTGTATATATATATATATATATATATATATATATATATATATATATATATATACCAGAACATCATGTTGTAGATGTAAAATATATGAAATAAAATAATTTTAGAAAAGAAAACATAGAAAGGCATTTATAGGGTTTTAGATCATGGGCTGAATAATTTTGACTTACAGTCTGAGTATGACTTATAAGGTGGGAATGATTTGGGATTGAGTGGTATATTGGTATAATAGCTTTGGATTGGCTATTGGTGTGTACAGTGAGGTGAGAGTCTAAAGCAACTCTTGATAGGAGAGCTATTACTCTTAATAAGTTTGGTACTCTGGCTAATTTGTTCACACCTTATTTTCCATCAGCAGGTGTTTCTTACAGCAAGCAGTTTACTTTTTACTGATCTCAGTGTTAGTTATTTTTAAAAAATAGGAAAAAAAGTCAGTCTAAATTTGTTTAGTCTAAAAAAAGTCAGTCTAAAATTGTTTAGCACAGAATCAAAAATGATTCCTATTTCCAGTAGTGGGTAACAGGGACAGAGGATTACTTGGTTTAAGTTCTCCAATATAAGCCAACAATGTTAAAAGCCTGAAGGAAATGGAAAATTATTTAAAAATGTAAAGATATCATAACTAGTGAAGGAAAAATAGAATATTTAATAACTCAAATTCTTTTTAATTATAAGCTAACTCTGGATGTTGTGGTGAAAGGATCCCTTGAGCCCAGAAGGCTGCAGTGAGTTATGATTGTGCCACTGCACTCAAGCCTGGGTGACAGAATGAGATCTTATTGCTGTCTCTCTCTCTCTCTCTCTATATATATATGTATATACATGTATGTGTGTGTGTGTGTATGTGTATTAATATAGTATATAAACATATATTTAGCAACATATATGTGTATATATACTAAATATTATACTAGACATATTTAGTCTACATTTACTAAATAAATAAATATGTTAAATATATTTAGTATATTTAGTACATATATAATATATAGTATATTTTAGGATACGTACATATATAGTATATACTAAAATACAATCTATATATTATATTTAAAAATGATATCAAATGTCATTTATATAATATATATTTTAGTATACACACATATATACTTTTATATATATACTATTTAGTATATATACTAAATATATATGTGTGTGTGTGTGTGTGTGTGTGTGTGTGTGTGTGTGTGTATATATATATACACTAAATAGAAGACAAAATAAAAGACATTCACATTGGGAAATGAGAAATAAAACTTTCTCTTTGCAGATGACGTGATACATAATTCCAGTGAATTACCAACAAAACAACAACTTGTAAAACTGAGTTCAGCAAGGTCATAGGATAAAAGATCAATATAAAAATACAATTGTTATTTGATATGCTCTATTTTTTAAGTTTTTTAAATTAGTGGCTGACCTGGGAATTTAAATTAACATCTTAACATACAACAATCTGGTCCAGATTAACACCAATTTAATTTCAGTGGTGAATATATACTTGGCCTCTATAAGGCTTCATTGTCTCTCCACTCCTTCCTGCCCCAAGACACAGTCACTCGGTATGGATGAGGACTTTTTTGTTCCAGACATTTACATCAATCTCTATCAAATCATTAGCTGACCACTGAGCTAACTAGTAGAGACTTCAGGAGTCACAATGAACTGTCAACAACAACAAACACCACCACCAAACCTTAAGGAAGAGGGAAAATCTAATTTCCAAGGTTGCCAAATGTTAGTATTTAAAATCTCCAGTTTTTTGTTTCTTCTTATAATTGTTATCTCCTTATTGACTTTCTGCACATACTGAGACTTACTATTGTACTTTCTTTTGGGTCTTTAGCCATGGTTCCCTTTAGTTCCTTGAACATACTTCAAGAAGTTGATTTAAGGACGTGTTCAGTAAGTCCAGCATCTGGGTTTGTTTAAGGGGAATTTCTATTGACTGCTATTTTTTCTGTATGTGGCCATATTTTCTTATTTATTTGCATGTCTTTTTGATAAATAAAGCTATAAGATTCCCTCTAGGGTATCATTATGTTCAATTCTCGAATGTTTGAAATTTTCTGTAGCTATACTGAGTTTGATTATTAGAGCCTACTTCTGGAACACTCAATTCTTTCTTATCTGATATATTAGGTACCATTTATTGACCCACTTTCCCAAATTTTCTTCTTCTTGTGGTAGATTTGTCTTTTAAAAGAGTTAGTTTTCTGCCATCTCAGTGGAGTTTTTTAAGCTTCATTTACAATAGGCCACAAAAAATTTAAATGTAGTACTTTATTTTGAAAAACATAAAGAGAATATAAAAAAGGATTAATAATTTTTAAAGCTAGGTAATTGGTATTCAGGTGTTCATAATCTTATTCTCTGGGTTTTTCTTTATGATTGCTATATTTAATAATTTAAAATGGGATGTAGCAGTGACTGGAATTGTTTGTTGGCCAGTGTATTTATCAGGTTCTATTCAATGACTTTTTCCATTGAATTGACAATGAATTTATTGTACTTAGATTCCATTTCATCATCTACATCAAAACCTTTGTCATTTTAATTTGAGATTATTGTGTTACAGGTTTATCCTTTTCATCCACTTTCTTTCCTTGTATTTTCTAATAATTATCATTTATTCAACACCAGTTTTCTTCTAAACTTTTCTTGCTCAACATCACAAAATTTGGATTATTTTATATGTCAATAATAAATTTATTTTCTTATTAAGTAACTCCATAATCTGTTCATAGTCTACATTCAGGTATGTGCAAACATGAGATATTTTGTATTCCCTCTGACACTGTAAAAGTTTTCAGTAGTTCTCCAAATACCCCTTTTGGTTTTGTGCTTTTAAAATACACCATCTGACATCCTTTTGCAGTATCTCAGAAAATTTCAAAGCGTTATTTGAATCCAGATACCATATGACCGCACACCTCAGAGAGTCTACCTTGATGCCTCTAATCTCCTTGAAGTATTCTATCCATAAATATTTTAGAAGTTTAGTTATTAAAATTTATCCTATACTAGGCACTGACATCCTTAATCTCAATGACCCATTGTAATTATCTTTTAGCTCTGAAGCTCCAACATAACAAAACATATATTTATAAATTAGAATTAAGAACAGAAACTAAGAATCAATCTAAAATCACTTCAGTGATAATTTTTCTGACAATTGCATCACAATTCTTTACTATTGTGGTTTTTAGGCTTACTACATCTTTCCATAATGCTGAGTTTTATTTTCTGAATTAAGCTCAAATATCTGAGATGATATTTATATATTTTGTATCTTTCATGGTAGCTAGCGTAGTGCTGGGCTCTGAATTTAAATGCTGGTTGTCTGATTCTTCCATTCTTCAGCTAGTTGGATCATACTATTTGTAATGGGTGAAATTAAATACACTTGATGGAGTCTTTCACTCTTTATATAGATTGAAAAATTACTCAATATTATGGTAATAGAAGAGGAGCAAATTATTACATGACTTAACTAGGAAATAGCACATAGGAGCGCATAGTATTGAAAAATACTGGCCGGACATGGTGGCTCACACCTGTAATTCCAGCACTTTGGAAGGCCGAGGAGGGTGCATCACTTGAGGTCAAGAGTTAGAGTCCAGCTTGGCCAACATGACCAGCTTGGCCAACATGATGAAACCCCATCTCTACTAAAAATACAAAAAGTAACCAGATGTGATGTTTTGTGCCTGTAGTCCCAGCTACTTGGGAGGCTAAGGTGGGAGAATTGCTGGCACCCTGGAGGCAGAGATTGCAATGAGCCAAAATCACACCACTACACTCCAGCCTGGGTGACAGAATGAGACTCTGTCTAAGAAAAAAAAAAAAGAGAAAGAAAGAAAAATATTCCAGGTTACGTATTTTGCAGAAAAGGTATAAAACAATGCACAAAGTTCTATTAAGAGTATAGAATATGTATGAGTATAGGTACACGGATAACAAGATGTGGTTCCAAGTCTTTCCAAAATATTGGTCTGTGATCATCAATACAGCAAACGACTTCTGTGGCTCTAGGTTCTCAGGTGCTTTAAAACAGTTTAGAAAATAGCTATTATTGTCATGTAAAGTAAAGAAAATTCTCTTTTGTGCATTATGAAAAATAGCTGTATGTGATAAGACCTGATTGGAGATTGTTTTAACTATTTTATCAGAAACAGTTGCAAGAATTCATCATATCATCTGTGACATCTGTTACCAGAAGTGGCATCTGATTGGAACATCACTGGTGTGGTATAATTGCATAAAAATGATTATTTCTTTGTTAATGTAATTAGTACTTTTGAGTTATGATGTTGGAAATTTAACATTTTTTTAGAAATGCATGAGTGCAAAATCATCAATGCATTTTAAACTTTTTGTTTAGCCTTGCTTTCTACTAGGACCTAAACTGAAAAATATTTTTAAAGAAAGGTTGTCTCATTTCTCTGAATGATGTAGAATCACAAAAGGGACTTCCTGGAAAGATTCTAGGATGTCTTTTCCTACTTAAACAATCAGAAATTTCAGATTTTTCCAAGGTCCAACCTTTCCAGTTTGTGTAATTACTTCTTTTGCTAAATTATCTACTTCAAGGCTTTGAAATCTTACTTATTGTCATACATTTATTATGACTATTTGCAACACTCTCTCCTAATTCTTTCCGCATGTCATGTCAATTCTACATGTAAAATGTACCTGGAATTTGTCTCTATTCCCCATGCCTTATGATAAATCTAAGGCTCTAAAACTTTTGTTTTTGTAATCATATTAAGCATTAATCCAATATCAGAACAATATGTCCCAGTCAAAATTCTTCTATATCAGTTTGAGTATTTTCAGTTGTAGGTAAAATAAAACACTGACCAACTTCTCAAGCAATTAGGAAGTTATTACCTTATAAGATGGCCGGAGTTAGGGCAGCTCCAGGGTTGGTTAATTCAGGAGCTTCAGAAAATCATATAATGCCCTTTTGTTTAAATTCACTCATGTATTCACTCAACAAATATGTACTGAGCACCTATTTTGTATCAGTATAATGTATCAGGCTTTCTTATAAATATTTTATATACATTAGTGAACAAAACAGTCATAGGTTGCTGTATTGAGAACATTGCATACCATTGTGAATAGAAGATAAATAAGTATATACCTTAAAAAGTAAATAATTAATGTATGTTAGAAGGTAATAAAGCTTTGGGGGGAAAAAGAGCAGAGAAATAAAAAGATTGAGAGTGCCGAGGGTGCAATTTAATGTAGAGTGAACAATCAGGAAGAAGATAGTATCTGAGCAATGTCTTCAAGGAAATAAGGAGGTTTCTACACAGATGTCTGGAGGTATAAAGTCCACACAGAAGAAATAACTAATGCAAAAATCCAACAGGAAGACTGTGCCTAACAAGTTAGAACTCTAAGGATGCCAGAGAATCTAGAACAAAGTAAGCAAAGGATAAAGTAGAAGAAAAAGTTAGAAAGAAAACTGAGGCCTTGCAGAAAAACTTTTTTTTAATTTTTTTTTTTTTTTTTGAGACAGGGTCTCACTCCCTGGCCCAGGCTGCAATGCAGTGGTGTGATCTTGGCTCACTGCAACCTCCGCCTCCCGAGTTCAAGGGATCTTCCTGCCTCAGCCTCTCGAGTAGCTGGGACTACAGACATGCACCACCACGCCCAACTAATTTTTGTATTGTTAGTAGAGACAGGGTTTCACTATATTGGCCTGGCTGGTCTTGAACTCCTGACCTCAAGAGATCCGCCTGCCTTGGCCTCCCAGTGTGCTGGGATTACAGGCATGAGCCAATGCACCCAGCCTTTGTAGAAAATCTTAAGTGCATTGGCTTTAATACAGCTTGAAATATGAAGCAGTTGCCAGCTTTTAACTAGCAGAATGACATAAAATGATTTGCTATTTTAAGGGATCACTTTAGCTGCCCTATAGATTATAGACTCATGAGGTGATGGGGAGCAAAGTTAGAAGAATTGTGCCAGTCATCCAGAAAAACATGATGGAAGCTCATGGCATGGTAAGCATGGTAGTCAATGGAGTCTGGGGATATTTTGAAGGTGGAGACAACAAGCTTTTCTAATAGGTGTAAAACATGTTTGTGAGAAAGAGACAAAACAATGATGACACTAGAGTCTTGCATTTTAATTATTAATAACTTTAAACATTAGTGATCATAATAATATGAATAGTCCTTAAAAATCACCATAATTAAATAACATGTACTTCATTACTCTGTTTTTCACACAGTACTTCCCAACTAAATAAATAAATATTACTCCTGTTTTAGAAAATAAATGAACCACTCAAGGATCATCTACAAGAAAACAGAATTCTTAATTATTTATAAAACCAGCAAACTAGAGTTTAAACATGAGTACATTATATGTTAATGAAAGCTATGATTGGCCTATCTATAGCCATATTTGCAGGACTGATTACTAAAAAATATACTCTATGACAGCTTATGTCTTCTTATCATTCCAGATATTTTAAATATAGATTTTCTGGGAAAGCCATGGTACAAACACTTCATAAAATGTCCTTAAAATATCTTTAAATTAACATTGCTACTTTTACACCTTGAATTTTCCTTTGACATTTATATTTCACACCTATACAGCTTTTCTAAGAATCTAGCCTTTTTATGAGGTATATTTCTCTTCCATTTTACAGTTTAATTGGGATACTATTTCTGATTTTCCTCATTAAAATATTAAATATAATAAATATGTTCAGATTTTTTGCCCAATAATGATCCATTTGCATTCTTGTTTATGTAACCTGATTTCATAAATTAATATGTTATTTTTAAAATTAAGAAATTGCTACATAATCACATATTTACATATATTTTCTGGAGACTGTGTTTTTAAGGGATAATTATAAATTATCTTCATTTGGATTTCTAAGATTCTTTCTTCCTAGATTGCTGTCTCTAATATATTTTCAATATCACTTGCATCCCCAACACAAATATTACCTACCTGCCACTGTAGCCCATCTTAAATACAAGTCCAATCATATGAATACCTTGTTTGAAATCCCAAAATTATTTTTCATCATGACAACATATATTCCTTTTCTGGGGATGTCAAACATGCCTTCAAAATTGTTTATTTCCATTCATTATTTCAGCCTCATTACTTGCTGTATCTCTGGCCACCATAGATAGGTCATTGTTAACCATAGTGCTAAATGGTATCCAACCTTACTGTGTTCCATCACGTCTTTGCCTTTGTAATTTCGCCTTCTGCGTGGCCCTTTACTCCATACTCTCTACTACTGAATACCTTTCCTCTGTTCAAATTTAACTTGAGTCTCCTCTTCTTGCAGACCTTTCTTTTATTAAACCTGTTTGTACCTCTATCATAGCACTTTCCATATTGCACTAGAGGGCCTGCGAGTAGATGGGAACCATCCATTTGGGCAGAGGACAAGACATAGACACCTGGGCTTACTAATCACCCTCCAAAACGAATTACGGTATGTGATACACAAAATGAGCAGAATAGGAAAGAGTTATGGAGAGTAATTAGCATTGGCTATAACTGGAAGGTAGAACACATGGTGTATTTTCTTCAATTAACAATTTTACTTTTAATGGTTTAAAGCTATTTTAATCACTACATACACACTCAGTGGTTATCCTACCTTTATTTCTTTTAAAGCCTCCAATTTTCCTAATTACTTCATATATGGTCTAATAATTTAGCCAGTATCTTAAAAGCATAAAATTCTAGCTGAAATAACTCCTATTTTGCAATAAACTAATGTTTGATATAACAGATATTTTGTCATAGAGTCTCCACAGGGGACAATGAAATCAACTTCTTGGTACCCTTATGAATAAATAGCACAGCTTACTTGCGGAGAATGCTTAATTTATTTCATCACGTTCTATATTATTTATCTTTGTTCTGCTTTAATTAGCTTTTTCATAGATCAAAGCTGAACTCCAGCTTTTCTGATTTGTTCTCTCCACTGTTGCAAGAAAGGAATGGAAAAGAGGAAGGAGAAGAACGACAACTATGACATCTTGATAAAGGAGATTTCAATATTTAACAAATTTGCATGTCATCAATAAAGGCATTAGCACTTCAGCACCTGGCTTCTCAAGCAAACACTTTAATAAGCAGATGGTTCTGCCTGAGTGACCATTTTAAACACTTACTCCATTTAGCTTTGACAATTTGCTTGAGACAGGCTGGTATTGCTCATCAATTCTATGGCATCTTCAGAAACAGCCAAGCCATTTACTGTGAAAAATATTTTTTCCAAGGGGTTAAAAATAAATTTAAAGTGTTCACACATATTTTAATTTAAATCCCACTGCTTATTTGTTCCTCTTTTATCTATGTGGTATTTGTGATACAAATTAATTATTTAAAATAATTCATATCATGTCAACTCTCTGGGCCAGTTTAAAGAGCCCTTATGCTTCTCATGAACATTTCCATACTTCTTGTGACCCCTTCTCTTTTCAGATTATGGTTTATCATTTCCTTTACTGAGATTTCACTTATCCTTCCCCAGCCCAAGTTAAGTATTCTCTTTCTAAATTCTCCCAACCCTTCATAACTAATGACTGCACTGAATCACAATGCTGAAGTATAATAGAGGTGATTGCCTTTGCTTGTTGATTTCTGACATGGAGCCAACATTCCTTTGAAAATGAAAAACACAAATTTTATAATTATATTTATTTTTAACTGATTTATTGCCTATTCTTTTCTTTAGAGAGATTAATTTAAACAAAGATTTGACTGAGTGTAAATTCAGAGTAGTACTAAAGAAAGGAGTAGAATTACAGCTTCTTATTTCATGTGAAGTGCAATTTATGTTCAGATAAAGTATAAAACTTTTAAGCTGAAGATGGTTACTATAATTTCCTTCTTATTTTCAAGATCACATATAAACTTACACTTTTGTACTAAACTCACAACGTGAATATTTGAAACATAAAAGTATCAGACAAATATTAGAATGTGTAGTTTTGGTGTAATAAGATGTATTATGCAGAAAGAACAGCTTTTGCATAAATACAAATAAGAATTTCTGAGACATGGGAAAATGGATTAATCTCTTGAGCAAGGAAGAGACAAAGTGTCATGTTTTATAATGCATTTTTTACTCTTTTTAAGTAATCATTCTGTTGAATTCGTCCTTAGAAGTAAAACAATTCTCCCAGAGTTTCCAGAAATTTCAAGTACTCTGGGCAGAGAAAATTTTCAAAGGAAGAAATTCATAAACACTAAAGTCTACATGTGTATGAGTCTGTTCTCACATTGCTATAAAGAACTATCTGAGACCTGGTAATTTATTTTTTCAAAAAAGAGGTTTAAAACATAGTTTCACCATTTTACAGGCTGTACAGAAAGCATGGCTGTAGAGGCCTCGGAAAACTTACAATCATGGCAGAAGGCAGAGGGGAAGCCGGTACATCTTAAATGGCCAGAGAAGGAGGAAGAGAGGATAGGGGAAAGTGGTACACACTTTTAAACAACCAGATCTCGTGAGAATTCACTCACCACTCCCTATCATGAGAACAGAAGGGAGAAGTCCACCCCCATGAATCAATCACCTCCCACCAGGCCCCTACTCCAACACTGGGGATTACAATTTGACACGAGCTTTGGGTGGGGCTGCAGAGCCAAACCATAGCATTTCATCTCTGGCCCCTCCCAAATCTCATGTCTCTCTCACATTTCAAAACACAATCGTGTCTTCCCAACAATCTCCCAAAGTCTTAACTCATTCCAACATTAACTCAAAGTTCAAGTCCCAAGTCTCATCTGAGACAAGGCAAGTCCCTTCTGCCTAGGAGCCTGTAAAATAAAAAACGAGTTACTCACTTCGAAGAGTCAATGATGGTACAGGCATTGGGCAAATGATCCCATTCCAAAAGGGAAAAATTGGCCACAAAAACAGGGGGCTAAAGGCCCCATGCAATTCCTAAACTCAGCAGGGCAGTCATTAAATCTCAGAGCTAAAAAATAATCTCCTTTGACTCTATGTCTCACATTCATGCCACACTGATGCAAGGGGTGAACTCCCAAGACCCTGGGCAGCTCTGCCCCTATACCTCTGCAAGGTACAGCCCTGCAGCTGCTTTCACGAACTTGCATTGAGTGCTTGTGGCTTTTCCAGCCACACAGTGCAAGCTGTCAGTGGATCTACCATTGTGGAGTCTGGAGGATGGTGACCCTCTCCTCACAGCTCCACTAGGCAGTGCCCCAGTAGGGACTCTGTGTGGGGGTTCCAACATCACATTTCCCCTCTGCACTGCCCTAGTAGAGGTCCTCCATAAGGGCTCTACCCCTGCAGCAGACTTCTGCTTGGACATCCAGGCATCTTCATACATCCTCTGAAATTTAGATGGAGGTTTCTAAGGCTCAACTTTTGCACTCTGTGCACCTGCAGGCTTATCACCATGTAGAAAATACCAAGGATTTTATAGCTTGCACTCTCTGAAGCAACAGGTCAAGGTATACCTTGGGCCCTTTTAGCCATGACTGGAGATTTAGCAGCTGAAATGCAGGGTGCCATGTCCCAAGGATTCAGAGAGTAGTAGCAGTGCCCTTGGCCTGGCCCACAAAACCATTCTTTCCTTCTAGGCCCCCAGTCTTGTGATGGGAGGGGTTGCCAAGAATGTCTGTGAAATGTCTTCTAGGCATTCTCCCATTATCTTGGTTATTAACATTTGGATCCTTGTTACTTTATGCAAATTTCTGCAGCTGGCTTGAATTCCTCCCAGAAGAATAGGTTTTTCTTTTCTATCACATGGTCAGGCTGCAAATTTTCTAAACTTTTATGTTCACTTTTCTTTTAAATATAAGTTCCATTGTCAGATCATCTCTTTGCTCACACATATGACCATACGGTGTTAGAAGCAGCTAGGTCACATCTTGAACACTCTGCTGCTTAGAAATTATTTTCAACTAGATACCCTAAATCATCACTCTCAAGTACAAAGTTTCACAGATCCCTAGAGCAGGGACAAAATGCTGCCAGTCTCTTTGCTAAAGCATGGCAAGAGTGACCTTTACTTCAGTTCCAAATAAATTCCTTATCTCCATCTGACACCACCTCAGCCTGGACTTTGTTGTCCATATCACTATCAGCATTTTGGTCACAACAATTTAACAATTGTCTAGGAATTTCCAAACTTTCCCATATCTTCCTGTCTTCTTCTGAGCCCTCCAAACTGTTCCAACCTCTGCCCGTTACCCAACTCCAAAGCTGCTTCCATAGTTTCAGTTATCTTTATAGAAATGCCCCACTTCTCGGTACCAATTTTCTGTATTAGTCTGCTCTTGCATTGGTATAAAGAAATACCTGATATTGCATAATTTATAAAGAAAAGGAGTTTAATTGGCTTACGGTTCTGCAGGCTGTACAGTAAGTATGGCTGGGAAGTCCTCAGGAAACTTGCAATCATGGTGGAAGGTAAAGAGGAAGCTGACACATCCTTCATGGCCAGAGTAGAAGAAAAGGGATGGGGAAGTGCTACACACTTTTAAATAACTAGATCTCATGAGAACTCACTCACTATCATGAGAACAGTAAGGAGAAATTTACCCTCATGATTCAATCACCTCCCACCAGGCTCCTCCTCCAGCAATGGGAATTACAATTCAGCATGAGATTTTGGTGGAACGCAGAGCCAAACCATATTAACGTGCTTCAGGCCACCCCAGGTACTGCAATAATAGCTACCATGTATTGAATAATAAGATTGTGTCAGATAGTATACCAGTATTACTTTATATTCATTATTTCATTTAATTCAACAATAATCTTATAAGGCTACTACTAAATAAATATAGATTGAGAAATGTAAGCATTTTGCTGATGTTCAAACAGCCTCAAAATGTTATAATCAGGATACAAATTCATGTCCGAATGAGTCCACAATTTAGAGCACCCCCTGAGTCTTGTCTGTGCCAAGGAGAATATAAGAGTGTAAAATTCAACATCTCTTCATGTTAAAAACTCTCAATAAAATAGGTATTGAAGGAACATACCTCAAAATGATAAGGGCCATTTATGACAAATCTATGGCCAATATCATACTGAATGCGCACAGTGCAGCAATTCCTCAAAGATGTAGAATGAAAAAAACCATTCGACCCAGCAATCCCATTACTGGGTATATGCCCAAAGGAAATAAATCTTTCTATCATAAAGATACATGTACACATATGTTCATTGCAGCAGTATTCACAATAGCAAAGACATGGAATCAACCCATCAACGATAGACTGGATAAAGAAAATGTAGTACGTATACACCATGGCATAGTATGCAGCCATAAAAAGGAACAAGATCATGTCCTTTGCAGGGACATGGATGAAGCTGGAAACCATGATTCTCAGCAAACTAACACAGGAACAGAAAACCAAACACTGCATGTTTTGTCTTATAAGTGGGAGCTGAACAATGAGAATACATGGACACAGGGAGGGGAACAGCACTTCCTGGGGCCTGTCAGGGGAGGGCAGAGCGGGAGAGCATAAGGGGAAAGAGCTGATTCATGAGGGGCTTAATACCTAGGCGATGGGTTGATAGGTGCAGGAAACCACAATGGCACATGTTTACCTAAGTAACAAATCTGCACATCCTGCACATGTACCCCAAAACTTAAAAAATAAATAAATAAATTAAAAAAATAAAAAAGACTGAGTGTAAATGTTTTAGAGGACATTGTCAATTATACTCCCAGAAATTTATTAATAACCTATATCTTTGCCAATTGTGTTTTTTTAGCAACAATTTCTAGTCTTGAGATTATCAGGTCAAATAGTAAACATATTAAATATGAGAACAATTATCTAATATTCTTACAAAAGTCTTTTACAATAAACCATTGATCAGCAATGTGTGGGAATGTTTGTTTCTGCACAGCCTTGCCAGCCATGAGTATCATCAAATAATGTATTATTTGTTAAATTCTTACGTTTCCACATTCCTTGAGACATAAATGCTGAGCATCATTTTCCTGTTTATTGGGTATATGGAGTCAGTTGTTTAAAGTAAATCACTTTTAGTATTGTGAGGTGTGTGTGTATGTATTTGTGTGGTGTGCTTCTCTTTGCAAATTAAGACTAATGATATTAGATCTTTCTTGTCAAGAGTCAAACTTGTTTCCTCCCTGATATGGTCTGGCTCTGTGTCCCTATCCAAATCTCATCTTGAATTGTCATCTGAATTATAATCCCCACATGTTGGGTAAGGAAGCTTGTTGGAGGTGATTGGATCTTGGGGGCGGTTCCCCCATACTGTTCTTGTGATAGTGAGTTCTCACAAGATCTGAGGTTTTTATAAGGGACTATTTCCCCTTCGCTCTGCACTTGTTTCTGTTTTGCAGTCTTGTGAAGAAGGACATGTTTGTTTCCCATTCTGCCATGATTATAAGTTTCCTGAGGCCTCCCAAGCCTGGCAGTTCTGAGTCAATTAAACCTCTTTTCGTTATAAATTACCCAGCCCTGAGTAGTTCTTTATGTCAGTGTGAAAATGAATTAATACACTCCCTTTTATACATACCCCATAATCAATCCATCAACCAGTTCTATTAGCCCCACTTTCAAAATATATACAAAATCAAACTTTTTTTCATGACCTACCGTTGTCATATCTCACCTGGGCTATTGTGACATCCTCTAACTTATCTATTCTCAACAGAGTAGCTATTATGACACTTTTAAAGCATATGCCAAATAATATTCCTCTGCACAAAAATCTCATTCTGAGCCAAAGCTAAAATCCTTACTTGGGCATTGAGTCATCTCGTCCTGGCTGTCCTGCCTTCATGTCCCCTTCCTCTCTCATTAGCAGGCCTCCTTGGCCACACACTTGCCATGTATCTTCCTCTGCCTTCAGGGTCTTCTTCTGCCTGGAAAGCTCTCTGTCAGATATCAGATACCTCCGCCCTCCCTCCAGTCTTTTCAAACAGCAGTCCTTCATCATCCCATGTAAAGCACCTCTCCCAACAACACATTTTCTTTGCCTTGTTGGGCTATTTTTTTATTGTTTGTATTACAACTTACTAACAACTGAAATATTATATGTTTGCTTTCACATGAATCAATATTAATTTTTAAAAGGGAATTATAAGAGTGCTTTAAAAATAACAGCGCTCATAAATAGCATTGGTGAATTATTTATAATGATTGAGAAGTGAAGACATTTCTGAGCAGTGAGACAGAAATCCTGATTTATTAATCTATTCCCCAGCAATGGTTATTGAATTATCTCTCTTTTCTCTACTGATTTGAAAATGTTACTTTCATTTTCTACTGAATTTCTATATCTATAGGAAACTATTTTTGAACCACCTTAAACTAAAGCCTCGTGTATTTGGAACTACTTGGCGGCATTACTTTGCTCACTGCCAAATTTTTCTTCAGAAAGATCAAACCTACTTACAATTCCAATAAACATATGAGCAAGCCTATTCTCCCAAACCATACAGAAATGCTCAGTAACTTAATCTAAAAAAACTTTTATATTTGCATATGTAGGTTTTTTATTATTTAAGCCAGGAATTTATATATATGCACACACATATATGAATATTCTATATGCAAAAATTATTTATGTATTGATAATGTTTTAGATAGATGTAAGCTCTTTATATATTAATGCCATTTCATTTTGGTCTATTCTTATAGTATAGAAAATAATATAGTATAGAAAATAATTTTATTATTTGAATTCTGTCTCTCTACTTGTGTTTTTTTTAAGTTTTATTTTTATAGGATTTATAGATTTGGTGGATTCCATCTACCTTATTATAAAATTTTGATTTAAATAGTACTTTATTGAATACATTATTTTATTGTTAAATTTATTATCTTCTAAGATATGCATTTTTCATGGGCCTGAGAAGTATTAGTGTGTAGTGATTAGCTCCACAGGCTCTAAATTTAATCTGGCTTGGATATGTACCCTGCCTTTTCCCCATACTATATGTATAAATTCATGAAACTACTTTATCTTCTTTAGCCTCTATATTCTCATCTTTATAATGGGGATTTTAAAAATCAACTAATCAAGAAGGGTTATTGTCCAATTAAATTGGATAAGATATCTAAATAGCTTCATATGGTGACAGACAAAATCAGCACAATCATATTATAAAACAAAGTTAAAATGTATTGTCATAGAAACTTCTGAAGTGGTTGCTGTATTCAAAGTATTTGCTCTACTACTTTTTAAAATCTTACATTGAAGATAAGAAATCTTATGTCAACCTATTTACATTTTAGATATATATAGCTTTTCAGATATTTAGTCTCTATAGAAATCCCAAAATCTTGCCATTATCTTCTGAATATATCATATCTTCACTAATTTCTCTCTTAAGTGTCCACCTTTTGATTCTATTTTTCTCTAGTTTTGTTTTTCAGTGCTGTGGGTTTTTCTTTTCATAATCCTTCACTTAGTACTTTTCAGCAGGCTCCGTTCTCTTCTTCAGGGGTTACTCGTATCTCAGATATTCACATTCCTCAGATTACATTCATTACATTTATTTTTTACCCATAAACAAACGTTTTTTGAATTTCTTTAGTTGATTTAAAATTTATTTGTTTGAGTTCCTGCTGTGTATGATTTTCGTGACATAAAGTCATTCTATGTTTGTAAAAATTTCATTTTGATGTCAAATATCCACTTTCAATTACAATGTTCTCTTGATTGTCTTACATAATACATTAAGACATGTTTAGTATTCCTCCTGTTACTTGGAGTAAGCCTGCTTTATTGGACGTAACTATTACAGAATTTTCAAAATAGTGTCCTCCTTTTAGACTAGTGAGACATGAAAATTTATGAATTTATAAATTGCTTTCTACATTGATGTGGCTTTCTATTCCTGTGTTTTAGTCTAAATTATTAGGAAAGGAAAGGAAGATATTTACACTTATCTATTTTATTTTTCTGTATTGGCATTCTGTTGCCTGGGAGGCAGGGAGGAAGTAGGAGACCAGCCAGCAAGTTGCACAGGACTTCACTGATTCAGAGTGGTTGTTTTCCATGTTAATTGTAGAAAGCTAATTCTTTTAGGGACTATCTCACTTTCACAGGTCTCACAGAGAGCTCTGTGCCACAGTGCCTTCCTTTTGCACAGCCATCCATACTTGAACTAAATTTGGGCTAACACGTTGGCCAAATACATCACACAATTCCTCCTTTTGAAGCTTCACAGTTTGAACTGGTGCCTTCTGTTCTGAACTTGGTTGTTTTACCATTTTATGTTTGTTTCCTTTTGTTTCTGTTTTTGTTTTGTTCTTTCTCCTGAGATATTCTGTTCACACACTTTCATGCAAGATTTCTTTTATGTTTCACATTATCAGCTTTTCAGTACTTCCTTCAGTACAATCCTATCTGCATTACCACCCATCTATTGATGATATCCATTCTCATCTTCCATTTTGAATAGAGAGGACAGATTTATTTTCACTTTCTAGTACATTTATTTTAAGGGAATTTATGAATGAACAGAGTTAAGCATATAGGTTCAAACAACATCTTTTAACGAGTTGTATATTTATTAAACTATATTGTAAAAGTGGCATCCCATCACAATTTAAACCAAAATACTCATCTTCTTTATGTCACCATCCTCAATAAAATAATGATTAAAAGTAATTAATATTTATTCTCATTCTCTTCTACTCTCATGGGAATATGTATTAAATGCACAGTCAGAACCCTTTTTTTGTTAAACCTTGGAGAATAGGTACAACTGAGTCAGGTACTTTTTCTAAAATGTCAGTTAGGGTATTACACCAGTAATGTAACACCTTGCAATGGTTTTTTATCATTTTACCCAGACTACTTGTCTTGAGTCTTTCCCTTTCCCTTTCTATCTTTCCATGATGTATTTTAAGGAATAGGGAGTTTGCTTCAGTGTGGAACATAATCCTTCAACAGTTTAGAAACAAGACAGTAGAGCAGAAATAGCAAAACCTCTAAAGAGTTTACTTTGAATTTCCTCCTCACCATGTTCATGTTTGAAATATTGAGCAATTTATTAATTATTTGAGATCCTCTTTTTTCAGTCTATCAAATGGTGAAAATATCTACACTTGAAAATTTTGAAAACATAAATTAGATAAGGTGTTTAAAGAAGTTGCCAGACATTTTCTTTGTCATTGATGAATGTCAATTTTTTCCTTTGTGGAAGCTTTAAGTTGACAGAGTTGGGACTGATCTCTAAATCCTCTTATGTTCCCTTCTCCCTCTTTTCCTCCATTTCTCCCTCTGCCTTCTTAAAAGAGTGGAAATACAGCAACTTAAAATGATGTAATCGCAATGTTAAATTTCTGTATATGGAGCATAATTACAAATACATAATTAGAACTGCAAATGCGCAATGGCAATAGCAATAATGGGTCCAAAGAATTGGAAGAACAATTTTTTGAGTCACTGAACTTGGGATTTTCCTCTTTATAGCAAATTTAAGAAGCAGTTATGAATAAGTTGTTTGAGGAGCAGCTTGGCTGTCAGTGTCACATTTCATTATACATAAGCCCAATAATTCTCTTCCTATTAATGAGATATTTGACTGACAACGTGATTAAGTTACATATGCCTGTGATGTCGCACATGTGGCTGAAAACAGTCTGGATGTCTAACAGATGAGTGCTCTAATTTGACACCCAATGAGGCCACCTTATAGAATGCAACCACTGTAGTCTAGTTTTTCCAGATGGTTGTAATTTTTTCTTCTTCCCCAAAATGACTCTAGCAACTTCAATGACATTAACTGTAATTGCGGGCTTTGGAAAGACTAATTATGCATTTTTTCATATTATAAAATATGCAGTGAAGAGTCAATATTTCCTCAAATATATTTATGAACTCTAACACCTTACAGAAATAATAGATTATAGTCATTAATTATTTTGGATAACTCTAAAATAGTGGACATTTTTAATATGCAGGAGTTCCAAAATTTTGTTTGGAATCCTTTGCAAAACTCAATATGGTTTAGAATTTATTGATTATCCACTATATTCTAGACATTGTACTAGTCAGTTTGATAACTACAAATATTGATAAACCATGGCATAAGAAATTCTATACAGTCAGACCATAAAAGATTATATATAAAAATTTTAGTACAATATAGGCTAGTGGATAAAAACTGAGGAAATAAATGTCATGGGAACAAATAAATGGAGATATATTGCAGGTGGATTATATTAGAATAATTCTTGGGTAAAATGGTATCAGATCTGAGCTTCAAAGAGTAAGAATTTTGCATGTAACATCAGAGTAGGGAAAGTGCAAGCTTAGGAGGAGATTCAGCTAATAGCAAAAGGGAAAACCTTTGAAATAAGAGAAGAACATTGTGGCCAGGTAGTTAGTATTCTAATGAAAACAGTTGTATTAAATAAAAAATAGTCACCATATATTGACAAGTAAAATGAACATATGAAAAGTTTTTAAGAACATATACATTTAAGTCTAATTATTGAGGTATGTAGGCATCACCAATTTATATATATATAAGAAAATTAACTGAAATTTGCTGATCTGGTAACAAACTCAATATTCTAATTTTCTTCAATAAATATAATCTATTTGTGCTATAAATTTTTTGAAACTTGACCTTTTATTTATTCTTGCCTTTGATCTATCGTATGCTGTTTATGATTTTGATAGAGTTCTAGAAGCTTGCAAATCCACAAAATAAAGCACCAAAGGCTCCAAATTTTAGTAAGTGAGTGGCTTCCTAAAATAAGTTGAGTCTATTAGTGAAAGCTATAGTGAATTGGGTCAAAAGAAACAAAACACTGACAGATGGCAAAGGGAAATAAGAAAAGCCTTTTCAAGTATTTCAAACATAAAAGTAATTCAGATCATGAAGTCCCAAGTCCATTAATAAAGAGGTATATGAAATCTACAATAGCATCACAATAGGCAAGTTATTGACCTGCTTTTAAGATAGGTGTTTAACAAGAGTTGTTTTCTTTTAAAATGATGTAGCAATCAGTATTATCATCTGAATTTACAAGCCGCACATTGGTAAAGGTAGAAGTGATAGGAGTAAACACTTCAAACATTTAAGCCTAAACAAATGAACATCTAGGTGACACACATTTCAGGATGTTGAAAATTAGACAATAAATGGCCTTGATATAAATCTGTAAAATCATAAATGAACTTGACTAGTGCTCTCCAATATTACATGAATTGGGAGCTAATGATTAAAAATTGTAAAGTACTAGAATTTATGTGTGATTTTAAAAATAAAAAATAATGTGAAAAGAATTTTTTAAAGGACCAACATTAAATTTCAAAAGGCACTTACATTTAAAAAACACTTAACTTTTTGTTAGAATCAAAAGTAAAGATTTTTATTAGTAAATAAAGAATACATTAGAATCACACCCAAGTGTAGGTAAGTCTACTAACCCAGTCATTTTTTCTTTATTCATTGTCATATATTCAGATTTTTCCCCTAAACCCTGATACCCATTTATACTTGAGACTGTATTGTTCGGGATAAATTACCTCATGATTATAATTTACCTTGTAAATCATAACCTGGAATATTTATCAATACCTAGGAGTAAGTATGTGAATGAGTTAGTTTGTTATTTTTTACTTAGCTAGATCAACTTTGTAAAGGCATGATTTGTTTAACTTGAAGTAAGTTAATATGATAATTCTATTTTTTTGTCTTGAATATTTACCTATAAAGGCAGTACATTGTTTTACATCTATACCTTATTCAAACTGATATTATGTTAAAACCTGTGGAAAATATCTGGGAGGAGACATGGTTGATAAGAATTTTTCAGAAATATATGCAGTTTCCAAGAACAAATACTATTCCTATTTGTATAGGCTAACCTGTAATTGTAGTAAAAATAATCTTAACCACAATTAAGCTAAAGATGATATCAATAACAGTTTAATAGAACTTATGAAACACTTCCAAATATGTTATCACAATTAACACTCGTAACAACACTTTTAAGAAGGGATTTATTAACTTTTGCCTTCATTGAAGAAATATTTATGTAGTACTTGTACATGCCTGCTATAGTTTCAACATTTTAATACTGAGCTCCTCTTCCATACGTAGTTCTGTACATTGCTATCAGAATTCATTTGCTGAGTCAAGTGAAAATTCGAGGTGGGATTTTGACAGAAATTGAATGGATCATATCATATTATTATATAGTATAGCATATTAATTATATGATATTATATTAACTAATGTGGAATAACTAATAATTGCTACATCCTTAAATCTAGAAACATGGCAAATGTCTCTATTTGACAGTCCTAGTTTTGTAATCTTTCATTTATTTTATAGTTTTAAATAAAAAGATTGCACAGTTATTTTATACATATCTTAAGTAATTTGTTATTGCTGAAATATAGGGTAAGTTCTGGTCACTACAAGCACCAAAATCCCATTACCAGTTGCTGCTATCTAGCTGGAGGAGACAGAGTGGGAATGGTGATGGGCTGACACTGTTAGCAGCTTTTGTTGGAACAACCCAACAAGAGTTGATGATTCTGCTCCTCTCCCAGGTACATACTCAACATTCTATGTATTGGCCAATAAAGGTCTTACCTTCTACGATAGTACTTTCCCAGCTCTTTAGAGCTTGATTCCGTGCTTCATTCAGATCTTGTCAGCTGTCTTTCAGGCTTTGCTTTGTCTGTGGTGAACTTAGAGCACCTCTACTTGTTTTGCATATTTTTATAAATGTATTTTTATCATTTTTGTCAAATTCAGAGCAGTTAGTGGAGGCCTACTATACCTTCAATCTATCAAATGGGGCTGAGATCAGAATTTCCTTATATTTAAATATTTAAATCATTATTACTTTTGAAATGTATTTTCGTAAAAATTTTGAATACAGCTCTAAATGTATGATTTTTCTAAGTAGTGATTAGTGCCAACAAAATACCTACGTTAAATTTTGAAAGATGCACTTATACTCACTGATTGTATTTCTCAGCCACCTCAATCTGTACTAATCTGGTTTGGGCCCCATTGCTCCAAGAAACAATCTTTATAAAGGGAATCAGTCAATGTAAGGTGGTTTCCTTTTAAAAATGTATTAAATCTGTAACTTTTTGCTTGTTTATTTCTTTTCTCCTACCCACAGTAATTTTAAATTTTTATCTTAATTTGATTTTGTAAAATATGTATATGAAATAGCCCAAAAGTTTATTTCAGCCCTTATTTTGCAAAGAAAACAATTACAAGAATAACGCATTATCAATTTACAGCACCCTTGAAAAATGAAGAATTTAACATGCCATTATTTCCATCCCCAAACCAACACACCATAATTTGTAATAACCTCAAAACTTAAAACTATATGATGAGAATGTGTTTTCTTGCTCTTCTTTTATCTCTTATCATATTGAGTTTTTCTACCAACACAGTTAATTGACATTACACTTAACATATTTGTTTAATTACTAACAGACACTTCTTTTAGAGCTTCCATTTTATTAAGGCCTAAATTATGAATTGTTTTTACGTAGGTAAAGTACTTTTTTCAATTCTTTTTTTTTTTCAGTGAGGTTGTATGAGTGGCAGCTTTTTAATTCATTCATATTTAGTAGTTCTCGGCTGAGTAGAAAATTCTTGTATCGTAATTTTTTTTGTTTTATTGATTGATTGATTGATTGATTGATTGATTGGAGACGGAGTCTCTCTCTGTCGCCCAGGCTGGAGTGCAGTGGCGCGATCTCGGCTCACTGCAAGCTCTGCCTCACGGGTTCATGCCATTCTCCTGCCTCAACCTCCCGAGTAGTAGTAGTAGTAGTAGTAGCTGGGACTACAGGCTCCCGCCACCATGCCCGGCTATTTTTTTTTTTTTTGTATTTTTAGTAAAGACAGGGTTTCACTGTGCTAGCCAGGATGGTCTCAATCTTCTGACTTCGTGATCTGCCCATCTCAGCCTCCCAAAATGGTGGGATTACAGGCGTGAGCCACCACACCTGACCCATAATTTTATTTTTAAATAAAAGTAGAAAGTAAAGAAATACTATACATGATATCACAAAATTTTAAAAAACTTCAAGATTCTCATTTATGCACAAAAACCCGTGCTATATTGTGATGTTTCAATGAGTTTATTATCAGAAAATCTGTAAATGTGATTGCATAAAATTAGAAAACACAGAAACTAAAATTTTCAAAAACAACAAAAATTGTATTCACACCCAAGATCACCTGTGCAATTCCTACATCTAGATTTATTTTTCTTTGTTTAAAAAATATATTAGCTAAAATGAGATTATCCTCTGCTTTTCAAAAATTGGTATATTGTTAAAAAATTTGTCCCAGAACATTTTCATTTTCTTTACTTGTAAAAGACATAGAATTTTTAATAAAAGACCCAGAGTGTGTAATTCAACTAATAATCTTTTATTTTGGGGGCTCCTAAAAAGCATTCCCAGAAATTAAATTTTTCATAAAAAGTATTGGTCATTTTAGAATACAATTCTAATAAATGGTTTTTCCTCCATATATATTCTATCAAAATAGACTGATTTAAGCTTTTCTCAGCTCTGGAGATTCAGTTTAGCTTATCAGCATTCAATATGCCTTTTGTTGATACAACTACAACTGATATTTTTTCTGTAGGAGGGTCTCAAGTTATTTATAAATCCTTATAACAGCAATCTGGACTGGAGAGTTTCTTTTTATAAGAGAGATACTGTTTGAGATGTATAATTGTCTATATGAAAGTTAAGATATAGCTCTCCTAAAGGCAATATAGTTACTTGATTCCATATTTCAAATTAAAGTACAAAAAACGTACTATTTTATGAGTAACACTGTGTAATCACCTTATTTATTTTGCTAATTCACATAATTGCTGAAGATTTGGTTTACACCTTTTCTGCACATTGCTTGAAAACATGTAGTAAGAGTCTGAAATATAATTGAAAAAATAATCTCTGTAATTACCTGCAAGCTAGTTGTGTGCTTTTTAAAAATGCATTCAGTTTTATTTTTGAAAAGCAACGAAAATATTTAATTGGAATTGCAAAACAAAAATATGTAATCAGAACTGCAAAAAAATGGGCATTCACTTCACTACTTTCTTTCTATTACTTTTAAATTTTTGTTGGTGCATCATATTACCTAGCTTAATATTTTAATTCAAAAATGTAACATTAAAAAAATGCCGAAACATATCAATTATCAATAACTTAATCACCATAACATAATTTATGTTGATATTATATTAGTCACTCCAATTCTGTCTTTCCTTATTTCTCCATTGATCTAATAATTTGCTTTATGTTCATCTATGTATATAATCACTTAGAGATATATCTACGCAGTTGAATTTGTAGTGAACATACTATATTACATTTCCAATATTAATATGTAAAAATTATCTGTGATGAAGCATAATGTTTGCAATTATCTTGCTAAGCACTACATTAGTCTGAGAGACAGAATATCATAATAATTTAATTCTAATACATCTAGTTAAACATTTGTAATGGTTTCTTTTTTATTCAGATTGTGATATATATTAGGTTAATAATACATTAGATTTACAAAAATTTAATTACATTTGATGAGTATACATTTTTGTTGTCTTCATTGTTACTGACTCTAGGACAAGATTCACAAATGAGCATTCCCAATTTCAGAAAAACTATCAATAACTTCTGCCTTCTGATGTTTATTTTCATGTTACAAAACAGTGTGTAACAATTTTAACAAACACTTCTAACACTGGATTATGTTATTATTTAATTTCTGACTTATAATTGTAAAAGTTTGCCCTAAGTTTATTTAGCCTGCATTTTTATGTCTCCAGAGGATAAACACTTTTCCATGTTCAGAACTGTTTCCCCTTGTGTACTCACATACTTTTGTCTAGTAAGTAAGAGTAGAACTCAAGTCTTCTACTACAATTTCCAATATATATTTATTATGCTATAAATAATAATTCATTGCCATTTCATATACTTATCTTGTCTATTGTCATCTTTAAAATTTTACTTTTTAAACCAAACCAAAAGAAAATAAATTTTATAATAAGTCATTTAGGATTAATGAAGTCCTAAAAGGCTGATACATTTTGCCAATCATTTGTGAAATGAGAGATACATTTATTTTATTTAACAAAGTTTAAGTTAAATCTTAGTAAAATGTAAGTGCAACATTGGTAACAGCTAAATGGTAATGGCATATTTAACAAAGCATGTCATATTCTTATGAAGAAATGCATAAAGAAGTTCTCAAATACTTTTGTATAAAATTGACCTTAATTTTAATTAATGATTACTAGTAATATAATTATTTCTCAGACTGAGTCTTACAAAATATTCCCAATTATCTTTTTTGTTGGCTGAAATTTCAATGCCAAAATATATTGGAATTACCTATGTATAAAAATAACACAGTACTTAATTATTAAAAGAAAATTATTTCATTGACCTGCAATAGTGGGTTTATATCCCCAAATAAATGTATACAGGATGTTAATACAGAGTTAATGCCAACCTTTTACATTATCAAAATTGATATTGTTATCCATAGTAAAACAATATTAAGGTCCCTCCAGATCCCAAATATATATATGAAAACATTGATTTTATTCTTGTAATGATAATACACAGACACATAAAAATTTGTATTTGCATTATATATATATGCTTATATACATATTTATATATAGGTTTGGGGTTTAATCTAAGTAGTAGCTAATACATTTTTTAAAAACATTACTATTACTTGATTCTTGATCTCAAATTTTAAATAACTAATTTGTGTATAAATATGGTTTTATTCATTGTAGTCGTATACCCTTCCTTAATATAGACATCTAAGCATCTGCAGTACTTCACCAAGAAATAGAGGTTAAGAAAAGCAGTTCTGAGATTAAAGAAAAACAAAAACTAAATATAGAACAAAAATCCTTAGGATAAAAAAAAAAAGCATCCAGTATAGCATTATTTAAAGAACAAAAAAGCGGCTGAGCGCAGTGGCTCACGCCTGTAATTCCAGCACTCTGGGAGGCCGAGGTGGACAGATCACTTGAGGTCAGGAGTTCGAGACCAGCCTGGCCAATGTTGATGATGAAATCCCACCTCTACCAAAAACACAAAAATTAGCCGAGTGTGGTGGCACGCATCTGTAATTCCAGCTACTCAGGAGGCTGAGGCACACGAGTTGCTTGAACCTGGCAGGCAGCAGTTGCAGTGAGCTGAGGTTTCACCACTGCACTCCGGCCTGGGCAACAGAGCGAGACTGTCTCAGAAAACAAACGACAACAAAAAAAGAGCAAAAAAACTAAAAATCTCAAAAAAATAAATTTAATCATTTCTAAACCTTATGCATATTGCTAATATTTGAAAAGAATAATTAGGCCCGGCGCGGTGGCTCACGCCTGTAATCCCAGCACTTTGGGAGGCCGAGGCTGGTGGATCACGAGGTCAGGAGATCAAGACCATCCTGGCTAACACGGTGAAACCCCGTCTCTACTAAAAATACAAAAAATTATCTGGGCGTGGTGGCAGGCGCCTGTAGTCTCAGCTACTCTGGAGGCTGAGGCAGGAGAATGGTGAGAACCCGGGAGGCGGAGCTTGCAGTGAGCCGAGACTGAGCCACTGCATTCCAGCCTGGGCGACAGAACGAGACTGCGTCTCAAGAAAAAAAAAAAAAAAAGAATAATTAACAACATGGGTAGAATATTATAATGTAATATTGAACGTAAAAACCTACATTTTTGAATGAAATTATATTTTAAGAAACAATAAAACAGATAAAAAGGTATAAATCAAAGTCAAAAGATGTTTGTGAAATGTTAGTGGAACATGGAATGAGTTTAATTTGTTCTTTATCTCAAATTTCTTTACTGTGCTTTCCTTACTCTGAAAAACTATATTACTAATTGAAATTGTTAATTTTTAACATAAGGCATATAACTGCCAAGAGGACCAGAAAGTTCATCACAAAATTTAATATTTCAATTTCTTACCAGGATATGTGTATAGGGGCACATATGTAAAATTATGTTAATTTGAGGGTTTTAAATGTAATTACATTTTTATTTTTTCTAAATGAAAAACATACAAATATTTATACATTATGAATCACATAGCTGTCTGTTAAGACCTTTTATGTGCTTCTTTTTGTGTTTTAGTATATCCTCATCAAATGCATATATGTTGAAAATTGTATATAATATTGTTAATACAAATATATGGAGTTTTATTCTCATTTTACTAAGTATTAAACTAAGTATTAAACATTTTACTTATCTTCATTTTACAAAATAATATAACTGGAAATTATATAGTATATTGTATGTTATATATTTGATATTCATTATATATATATATTTTTAGTCATTTGATGATAATTTCAAAGCTTTAACCACATAATAACCCTATATTTAAATTAATTAAAAAGCTTCAAAATATGTGAAACGTAAACTAGAAAACTAAAGAGATAACTAGAAAAATTCTAAAACATAGTTAGAAATATTAAGGTTCCTCTCTAAGTATCTCTTAAAAAAAAATAGACTACATTAGGCATATAGAATACTTGAGTAAACATCAAATACTTTGACCTAATTGACTTTTTTCTTTATAGTTGTGTTGAAATATAATGTGCAAATCATACCTCTCATTTATTTAATGTGTACAAGTCAATATTTTTAGTTGTATTTCAGTTGTGCAAACATCATCACAATGTCATTTTCAAACATTTTTGTCAACCCAGAAAGAAACTGTATAATCATTTTCAGTTAATCCCTATCCCCTTCTTTACCCAGTCCTAAGCAATGACCAATCTACTTTCAGTCTCTACATATTTACCTATTCTGGGTATTTTATTTAAATAGAATTATACAATATATGACCTTTTGTGATCGGCTTCTTTCACTTAGCACAAAGTTCATCTATGTTGTAGTTCATGTCAGTATCATTCCTTTTTATTGTCCAGTAATAAATTATTATTTGGATATGCCACCATTTATTTATCCACTCATCAATGATGGAAATTTGAGTTGTTTCCACCTTTTGGCTAAAATAAATAACATTGCTATGAATATTTGTGCTCAGGTTTTTCTGTGATGTATGTTCTCATTTCTTTGATATTGATTTATATAGAACACATACCCAACAGCTACAGAATATATATTCTTCTAAAATGTATGTGATACATTTTTCTTGTAAAGATTAACCATAAATTGTGTCATAGAGTAAGTCTCAATATATTTCTAATAACTAAAAATTTTGCAGAATATATATATTCTCTGACCACAATGAAGTTAAATTAGAAAAAATATGTCGAGAATTCTCATATTCATGTTTAATTTATTGTTAAAAACCTGTTTTTTGACTTGCATATGTATATTATTTCTCTTCTTTGTTTTTTATCATATGCACTTAGGTCCTTTCTAATGTAGTATTATTTCATCTCATTTTTGTCTATTCAGGTAGTCATGATTGTTCTTTTCAAAATGTTTTTTGTTCTGGTGGGGAAGCTTCATGCCAAAATGTTTAAAGTGATCTTCTCTTTTGTTTTTTGAAACATATGTAGACATATTGGTTCCTCAATTTGATCCTCTGTTGGTTTTCCTATGACAGATAATTTTTCTATTTATTTTCTTTGGAGAAAAAATTTGTACTTATCTATTTTAGGAGTTGAAAGGGGCTTTCTCATATTCTGAAAGGTTTCTTTTCCTTTTCATAACTTTAATAATTTCCCCCTTGCTCAAGGGTGCCCTTGCCCTTTTCTTGTTTGTTAGGACAGCCATCAAGTAGACTGACTAAACAAAAACAGAAAACAACAACAACAACAACAAACACACACACACGGCTTTCAGTGTCAATCATAAGATGGAGGAATATGTTGTTATCTAAGGTACTTTTCAGAAACATTGATGCTGCCCTGATAGATAAATACTTCCTGATAAATAAATCAGGAAGTATTTATCCTGATATTTATCCCAACTTCCCCACAGCTGACCTGTCCAGTCACAGCAAAAGTTTATGCATTTTTGTAAGATTCTCTTTCACTTAAAACACAGTTTGACCCAATGCATTCTTCTTTCAGTATAACAATCTTTGCATTAAAATAAACTAAATGAGGTTTTCAGAAGTTGGAGATCCTCCTTCTCTAATTGCTAGCACTAATATAGATGTGTGTGTGTGTGTGTGTGTGTGTGTGTGTATGTGTGTGTGTGTGTAGAGATGAGGTTTCACTGTGTTGCCCAGGCTGGTCTGGAACTCCTGGGCTCAAGCTACATTTCCCACTGCGGCCTATCAAAGCGCTGGGACTTTAATTTCTACTTTCATACTGTATAAAGTATTCCAAGTCCATATATGAGGAGGAAATTTGGATGCAGTTGCTCAGTTTTCTATACTTCCTGGAAATTCTTTGTATTTCCACATTAAAAGAAAACTTTTAATGTTATCTATCCTTTAGATATTTAATTTTCAAAAAATGATTTATATGTTTTGATTGATGCCCCAACTTACAATTTAGAGAAATGTGAAAATGTCAAACAAAAGGTATATGAAATTGTTATAGGAAAAGATTAGGGAAATGTACCACTTTCCTCATATGGTAACTGTTCTACCTGCAGGATGATAGGGATTTTATTTTTGAGTCATCGGTTTCCTGGACTCACAGTTTTGTTCTGACTTCTAAGTGGTGTGATGACATTAATACACAAAATAAAATGTCTTTAATATTTCTTGCCAAGACTGAGTCATTTTTTCTAATTTTATATGCTTATGGATGTCATCATTTCCTCATGGGATATACATAGACCTAATTGGCAGAAAGAAATGACTTTCCATTCTATGTTAAACTTCGGTGCTTCCAAAGATGCTGTTCTTTCTTAAAGAAGACTATCCTTCTGTCATAAATTTTTATTTGGGGTGGAAATAGTACAAGCTTTGAAGACAGGCAAACTCAAAATCAAATTCCAGGTTTTTCATGTAAATGTGTGAGCATAGGTATTTAACACAACTTGATAGCATCAGTTTTCCAGTTTCAAAACTGGAAATGATATTGTCTATCATGGGGGGGATCAGCAATTCTACATAGAGCACAAAAAAATCCCCTGCAAAATAAGCACTTTTACCAACCATTGATATTTGATTCAATGTTTCATTTAGATTTTCTGTATCCCTGAAATGGATTGGCATTTGAATAAAGTTATTTTTATCCATTACGTTAACTCTTAGAGTGAAAGAAGATTGTGAAATGTTCCTCCCTGTCTCTTCGTAGGCTGCTTCCTAAAGGTTTTTAGGTCTCCCACACATCAGTATTTTCTTGAACTCTATCACACCGCATCAGAGGTAAAAGAACAAAGGGAATGAGTCTTTGAAAGAGGGGGATTCTAAGATTCATTAGTCCTGACTCTATAAAGAAATAATTTTGTTCTTGAATTATCTCAGATTTTCTCCTAAGGATGGAGGGAATGTATAAGTGTGTGAGTTACCATAAGGTATTAGAGATTGAATTAGCAAACACCACCTATTTTAAAGAACTGCAGTGAAAATTCCCAAGACATTTCAGGGCTAAGCAAATTAACCAGCAAGCAAATAAGCAAAAAAAGAAGCAAATACATTGTCTTTCTAATAAAATTTGTTTTTAGATCTTTCAAAAAGATTCAACGGCCTTTACATGTTATGCCTGTTTATTTATTAATTCATCAATATCCCACATATTCATGAACTTGTCTCTGGGATTTCCACTTTGTGTTGTTTATCTATGCTTAAATACTGTCTCAATAGCTATAACTATAAAAATCTGTCATTAAGTCAAGATCTTGTAGTTTGCTTTTCTTCAAAATTTTATAAATATTCTTTTCTCTGTACTGTTCTGTATAAATGTTAGGATTTACAAAATAAGTTCTTTTTAAAAAAATAGGATATTTTTATGTTCTCACAAGTGGGAGCTAAACTATGAGGATGCAAGGGTATAAGCAGAAGCTAGTGGACTTCGGGGACTTCGGGGGGAATGTTGGGAGGGGGTGAGGGATAAAAGACTACTTATTAGGTACAGTGTACCCTGCGTGGGTCATGGGTGCACTAAAATCTCAGACATCACCACTAAAAAACTTATCCAAGTAACCAGAGACCTCCTGTACCCCAAAAACTACAGAAATTGTTTTTAAATAAATAGGATATGAATTGAAAATGCATTAAATTTTAATTAATTTGGGGATATAGTTATAATATTGCATCTTCTTACCTATGAATGTAGTTATTTTCAACTTTTCTCCATAAGAGGTCTTTTGGTAGATACAAAAAGATCTTTTGTTAGGTACCATATTATGGGCATCACATGAGAGCACATTTTCTATTACACTGTATTATATTTAATTAGTTTTCAGTCACACACACAGAAACACTAAACTCTTTATTTGCCAGAGTTTTAGATTTTGTATTTCATATAAAGAATCCTGTCATCTATTAATATAAGTAGGAAAGCTTTGGGTTTTTTTAAATACTTATAGCTTTAATTTCTACCTCTTTCTGTATCTTATAATCTTACTGAATGGCCAAGGGTCTCCAATGTTATATTGATTGGATCAGTGTGGAAATAGCAGATATATCTGTTTTGTTTCTTGATTGAATAAGAAATGCATTTAAATACTCAATATAAAGTACAATATTTATTATGAATCTTTGATAAATGCCTTTTATTAAATACATCCTCTTTTATCCAGTATAATAAGGTTTTCACATATTGATTATTAAATATTGCTCAATACTTTTAATTTTCAATTTTGAAATATCGTTTGTTTTTCACTACATTAGCATGTACTTTCTCCTTTAATCTATTAATATGGTAGATTATATACATTGGTTATCTGATGTTAACCCATCTCCACATTTCCAGATAAATTTTAGTTAGTCATTGTATGTGTATTTCATTTGCTAATATTTGATTCAGCAATTTAACTTCTATGTCCATGACAAAAGATGGTTAAAATTTTATTTTTCCCTTGCAATTCTTGGCCAGTTCTTTCATCATGGTACATTCATTACTCAAAAAAATTTATGAGAACATCTTTGCCAGACACTTTTTTGAGTGGAGATACGGAGGTTTAAAAAAAAAATTCTCTTCTCTAATGAAACTTGCATTCCATTGACATGTGCAGATGGGATATCAAGTCATAATGCATGCAAGGTAAATGGATGGAGATATTTCAGTTAGGAAGAAAAGAAAAAGGCATGCTGGAGTAAAGCAAACTGAAGTGAGGGGATGGGCTATATAGAGGTGACATTTTACAGGCATAAAAAATAACTAACAGCAAGGGGTCCAGTCATTTATTCACCATTGCATAAAGATGTATTCAAGAAACAGGTAGAATTCTGGTATTTCTGGAGCACCGAGAGAGATCAAAAGTGGTACAAAATGATATCATAGGCCAGGGGCAGTGGCTCACGCCTGTAACCTTGGCACTTTGGGAGGCCAAGGGGGGGCGGATCACCTGAAGTCAGGAGTTCGAGATCAGCCTGGCCAACATGGTGAAACCTGTCTGTACTGAAAATACAAAAAAAATTAGTCAGCGTGGTGGTGGGCACCTGTAGTCCCGTCTACCTGGGAGGCTGAGGCAAGAGAATCTCTGTAACCCAGGAGGTGGAGGTTGCAGTGAGCCAAGATCACACCACTGCACTCCAGCCTGGGTGACAGAGCAAGACTCTGTCTCCAAAAAAAAAAAAAAAAAAAAAAAAAATCATAAAGTTACTCAGGGACCATAGAATGGAAATTCCTTACTATCTGTGGTAAAGATTTTGATTTATACCATCAATGTGAGGTTGTAGAAGGTTTTATGTGGCATAGTAATATGAAACATGAAACTGGTTGGTGAACAGAGCCTACACTTCATGGAGGAAGGAGCAATGGGACTTGGGGTTACAGCAGTAAACTGGGATCAGAGTGTGAAGACCCTGATGGGAAGTATGATAAGGTTTTGTAATTCTTGCCTGAAAGCAGTGAGTGGATTGAAAGACCATAATCCGATGAGAGAAGTGATAAGATTCTTATTTATTTATTTTTTAAGCTCAATATAAATGCAGCGGAAATGGAAATGACAGGGATATCCAAGCAATATACGTGTTAGAAGTGACAAGATTGGTGAACGGGTAGAGTTGAGTTGTAAAAGAACATGAATGAACTAAAAATATTTTCAGCTTTATGGCTTTTAATTCACTTAGATTAAAAATAAATGATAGGCAATGTGAGAAATGAGTTCACAGTAGGATCTTCATATTAAGTTGAAATTTTAAAAATAGGAATGCTGTCATCTGTTCATATTTTGGAAACCAGAAAAACCACTTGCTTACTGAATACGTGACCTATAAAAAATTATGTTGGAACAGAAGAAAGGATCCGCAAACTACATTCATAAATTTTATTTTCTGATACTGAATTCCCCCATGCATTGCTTGGTATTATGTATATATTTTCTAATCTTAGCAAAAAACATGTGAAATTAGGTCTGCACAGAACCAGAAACGTGAATTATGTTTCCCAACTTCTTGACATTCCCTTCTTCCTTACGCCCCATAAATCATCAAGTCAAAAAGATTCTCATCCTAAAGATGTCTAAATTTTTAATTCACTCGGTAGTTATAATAGTGGATTCCAGAGTCAGACTTTCTTAATTTGAATATCTCTTTGCCATTTATCCATGTGATCTTCAGGGAATGATTTAATCTTTTTGTGCATCAGTTTGTCTGCAACTTTCCTTTGCTTAAAACTGCTATGGTTCTTTCCTTTGCTGTTTGAATAAATAACAAGTCACTTCTTGTCCACAAGTCTCTGCACAATCTGTCTCTTGCCTATACTTCTGGCTTCATGATAGACCATTTTCCAAATGCAGTGACACCAGTTTTCTTTCACACTGATGCACTCGCAGGTTTTATTTCATGCTCTGTGATATGTGTCTAAACTGACTTCCTAAGGGAGAGGGAGACTTGGTTGAGCAAAGAATCACATTGCTCTGCTACGAAGTCCAAATTAGTTTATAACAATCCCAGCAGTCCCAAATTAGCTACTTCACTTCTGGCACTGGTAGAAATGATCCTGAGATCACTGTGCTTTGACAAGGATCCTGCTGTATTTCACATTATCTGTAGAAGTGAAGAGTGTATGTGGGCACCACCCATGAAGTGCTACTCTAGTGTAGTAGTCTCTGCAGCTCCTGAAATCCTTCCTATTGTTGGTATTTGACCCCTGATGACTGCCCATTGGTCTTACCAGGCTCTATTGGGACACTGAAATCATAACAGTGTTTTTTTGTTTGGAGCTTCAAATATCTGTGAGAAGGAAATGATGACTCTAACCCCAAATCGGTAATGGGTTAAAAAATTTAACTGTTGTAGTGAGTAAGTTTTCTCCATGATTCTCATGTCAGCTAAGGGTGAAATGCCTTCTCTCTCTCTAAACACCATAAAAGCCTTCTCAACTCCTTACTAGGGGAAAGACCCTGCTGTATCTAGAACAATGCGAAAGAAAATGCAGTTAATAGCCACCTACTTACTATCCACATTTAATAAATGTAGGTGCTGCTATATTCAATTCTGGGTTGTTGTTTTTTTTAATAGAATTTAAAAATAGAAATTTTTTCACAATTTTTCAGTCTTCTTTAGGGGAAGCCACTATTCTGCTGCACTGAAATTGGTACATATTTTTATGTGCATTTTTATGAACCTAACAGAAATGCATGAATTCAAAAACCATGGTGTTGCTGCATGTTCTTAAAATTAATGTAAAATGGTGTCAAACTTGTAACTTGCTTTTTTTTTAACATAATTGAACTGTCTTAGAAATGTAGCAGAGTTTCTGGCTTGTTCATAGCACTATTTCTTTTTCAAAGCTAATGTATATTATGCTTTGAATTTTGATTTATTTTCTCCCTTTAAATTTCAGCTCAAGAGCTTAGAATTCAACATATACGCTTGAATTGTCATATCATGTGGCAAACTTTGACAGTAAATGCCAGTTGCTAACCTCATTAATGATGTCTCTATTTGCAATTCAAAGATAATGATTTTTTAAGAGAAAGAACATAAACAACTATGTAAAAATAGAAACTGCTCCATTTTGTTCCAAAAAGGAAAAATATACCTATAAACAAACAGATATAAAAAATTTCTCAAAAATATGTAATACAAAATTTACCTGTGCAGAGATTAAATTTTACATGTTTTAGAACTCAGAAGACACTGTTTTTAGTTGGATTTGCCATTTGCTAGGTCCAAGTGTAAGACAAAATTTGAGGTTTTATTTCTTTATCTCTAATTTTTTTCTTACTTGCATGTTTATCAGAAATGGAAAACTAATTATTAAAAATGTGAAATATCACAGTGCTTCAGTCTCACCATCTTTTTAATGCAATTTTGCAGCCTTTCCCTAGAGACTTGGGTTCAGTGGGTCTGGAGTGGTGCACTTTAAAATCGACACCTCGGGTATGTGTGATGCAGGTGATCCTAAAACATATGGATTAGCAATGTACCTAGAAAACTAGAGGTATTTAATAAAGTTCACTTTATCTTTCCAAAATACTTTCACGATGTAATTCACTTATGTATAATTTAGATAACCATATAATAAAGAAAGAATATAATTAGGAATGCGATTCCAGTTTTATTCTGCCAGGTAGAAATAGCTTAAGTAAAGGTATTCTTCAGAAACTCTCCAAATACTATTTTGATGTACCTAACACAGAAGTGATACAATAACTCCACCAAAGACTCCATAACATTTTGAGGGGTTAGACATTTAATTTAGTGTTTGTGCATGTTGCTTGGTTTTGGTTATTCAGAAAGAGAGAGATATTAAAATCTCCTGATGGGTGATAAAGGTATTAAAGTTAAATTTGTTGGAAGCTTTGTTGTCTAATGAAAAACATCTGGCTATTTGGAAGCAGGCAGATGCTCAAATAAATTTTTCATTTTTCATAAAATGTGCCTGCCACTTGGCTGAAATCTTAGTATGTTAGATATAAATGTTTCATTCATCCATATATTTAAATAATATGAGTAGGTTAAGATAGCAGAATTACAGAGGTACTTTATTGCTATGTTATATTACAATTATGTCAACAAATTAACTTTGTTATTTGGATGTAAAAATTTTTAGAGCACTTATCACTTTTTTTCTATTAGATTTTGATTCTCAGAGACAACTAAAAACACAGAAAATGAAAACAGTTTCTAAAAAATGCACTATATACTTTTTGTCAAAATATTTTTTCAACTTATAGGTGGAAGGTAACGTATAGCAATTTCTTATGTAAAATGGCCAGGATACCATAGATTAAAATCTTCACGGGTAATGAAATAGATAATGGGATGGCATAAAGAGGAATTGAAATGATAGAGATAAATAGACTATATAGGTCCAGATTCCAGAATCAAGATTTCTAGGTGTCTACTGGTTCATCTGTAAAGCTTTCATTTTACAATGAATTAGCTACAACATTTCAACTCTATTTGGATGTTTAGTATAAGTGTAAGTGTTATAAAATTAGGAACCATGATGGGAATTAAATATTTATACGTTTCTATGCAACCTCTGCAAATAACGTTTTGCTACTTACTTATTTTTATCGTAAAATTTCCAAATACAAAGAAGTTAAAATAATAATACAATGGAAACATATACACCCATTATCATGTCTCCTAAGTGATTAATTCATTATCAATCTTGTTTAATTTGTGGCCCTCCAAAATCTAACACCCTAGTAGTCCATATTATTTTTTTGTTATATTGAGACGTAATTTACACATCATAAATTTCACTCTTTTAACATATATAATTTAGTATGTTTTTAGTACGCTTAATAGTTTGATGTCACCATCACCACCCCCCGCAAAAATAAAAATGTATAGCTTTTAGCAGTGACTCTCATTAGCTCCTCCCTCCAGCTCTTGGCAGCCACTAGCCTATTTTTGTGTTTATGAATTGTCTACTTTGAACATCGTATGACATGTAGTCTTTTGCTTCTGAGTCTGTCACTTAATACAGTGTTTTCAAAGTTCATCCGCATTAAAGCATGTTTCAATACTTCATTCTTTTCATATCATTCCAATGGATATTTCATATTTTGTTATCTATTCATCAATTAAAGGGCATTTGAGTTGTTTCCACATATTTTGTTGCTAAGAACATTTGTGTACAGGTCTTCATGTGAACATATGTTTTCAACTCTTTGGGGTTTAGTCCTGGAAGTGGAATGGTTGGGTTATATGAATACTCTTTGCTTACATTTTTGAGGAACTATTTTTTCCCCCATTGAATGTTCTCAGGACCCTTGTTGAAAATCAATTGGCTATAGTTGTATGTATTTATTTATTATGGACTGTAAATTGTATTCCATTGATCTATATTATATGTCTATGTGATTGTTTGTCCTTTATTCTATGAATTTGGTGTATTAAATCGCTTTTTTTTTTATGTAGGACCAATGTTGCATCTTCTCAGTCTCACTTGGTCATGGCATATCATCCTTTTTACATGTTGCTGGATTCAGTTTGCAAATATTTTGTTGAAGATCTTTGTGTCCATATTCATAGGAGCTATTGTTCTATAGTTTTCTTTTCAAGGTTTTTGCCTGATTTTGGCGTCAGGTAACACTGGCCTCATAGAATGGGTTCAAATGTGTCCCCTCCTCTATTTTTGGGAAGAGTTCAGGAAGGATTGGTGTCATTTTGTCTTAAAATATTTGGTGGAATTCGTTAGTGAAGTTGGTTCTGGGCTTTTATTTCTGGAAATGTTTTGATTACTAACTCAGTTTTTTTACTTGTTACACATATATTCAGATTTTTTTGTTTCTTCTAGAGTCTGTTGCTATGATTTGTGTCCATTTCATCTGGTTCACAAATATATTGGCAATAGCCAAAATATGGATACAACCTAAGTGTTTGTTGGTGGATGAATGGATAAAGAAGCTGTAATATATATACAATGAAATGTGTATAGAGGTATACATATTGTATATACATGATATATATACACAATGAGATAGTTTTTCAGCTTTAAACAGGGGATTCTGCCATTAAGGTAACATGGATGAAACTAGAGGGCAAGATGTTAAGTGAAATAAGTCAGGCAGATAAAGGAAGCTACTGCATGATCTCACTTATATGTGGAATCTAAAAATTTCTAACATGTGAAAACAAAGAGTAGAAAGGTGGTTACAAGAACTCAAGAGGGTAAGAAAAATGAGATATAGCTCTTTAAGAAAAATAAAATAGGAGTCTGCAGCTATGAATTTCCCCCTAAGCACCATTTTAGTTAATCCTGTAAATTTTACTTTCCATTTTTATTCCTTTAATTTAATTTCTCTTGTGATTTCTTTCTGAGATTGGTTATTTAGGAGTGGGTTATTAATTTCTACATATTTGTGAACATCCCAGTTTACTTTTCTTATTAGTTTCTAATTTCATTGCATTGTGGTTATGTTACTGAGAATTCTGCTTTGGGATGAATTCTTTAACCAAGGAGATCAACAGAGCTAGAGTTCTGGACCAGCAATCTCAGTTCTTGTGGTAGTGCGCGAAGAACTGCAAACTAACACCAAAATGCAAGCTCAAAGCAAAGTTCATCAAAGCTCAGTAATACATTCTCAGAGAGAGAGTGGGCTGATTTCACTTCACAGAAATCAGCTCCTCTTTACAGAGCTCAGGGTGCTTTTATCCAGTTTGTGGGGAGAAGTTGAGGCTTAGGCTGGATTTGAGTAGCAGGATGATGTCATTTGATGGGGAGTTTGTGGTTATATAACTGAAGTTAAACTGCGCATGTTTTTATCTGTAATTCATTAAGGAAAGCCCACTTAAGGGGGCAAAAGCACATGTAAATTTTATTATAATCACTGTATAATGAGGATAGGGTTACCTGGGGTTCTGGCCTAGATGGACTGGGCCTATTGAGAGGTGACGGCGTGCTGGCAGTCCTCACAGCCCTCGCTCGCTCTGGGCGCGTCCTCTGCCTGGGCTCCCACTTTGGCAGCACTTGAGGAGCCCTTCAGCCTACCGCTGCATTGTGGGAGCCCCTTTTCTGGGCTGACCAAGGCCGGAGTCCGCTCCCTCAGCTTGCGGGGAGGTGTGGAGGGAGAGGCGCGCGGGAACTGGGGCTGCCTGCGGTGCTGGCGGGCCAGGGCAAGTTCCGGGTGGGCGTGGGCTCCGCGGCCCCTGCACTCCGAGCTAGCGGCCGACCGGCCCTGCCGGCCCCGCCGGCCCCAGGGAATGAGCGGCTTAGCACCCTAGCCAGCGGCTGCAGAGGGTGTACTGGGTCCCCCAGCAGTGCCAGCCCACTGGCGCTGCACTCGATTTCTCGCGGGGCCTTAGCTGCCTTCCCACAGGGCAGGACTCGGGACCTGCAGCCCGCCATGCCTGGGCCTCCCACCCCCTCCGTGGGCTCCTGTGCTGCCCGAGCCTCCCCGATGAGCGCTGCCCCCTGCTCCACCGCGCCCCGTCCCATCGACCACCCAAGGGCTGAGGAGTGCAGGCGCAGGGCGAGGGACTGGCAGGCAGCTCCACCTGCAGTCCCGGTGCGGGATCCACTGGGTGAAGCCAGCTGGGGTCCTGAGTCTGGTGGGGAAGTGGAGAACCTTTCTGTCTAGCTAAGGGATTGTAAATACACCAATCAGCACCCTGTGTCTAGCTCAGGGTTTGTGAGTGCACCAATCGACACTCTGTATCTAGCTACTCTGGTGAGGCCTTGGAGAACCTTTATGTCTAGCTCAGGGATTGTAAATACACCAATCAGCACTCTGTATCTAGCTCAAGGTTTGTAAACACACCAATCAGCATCCTGTGTCTAGCTCAGGGTTTGTGAATGCACCAATCAACACTCTATATCTAGCTACTCTGGTGGGGACTTGGAGAACCTTTGTGTCCACACTCTGTATCTAGCTAATCTGGTGAGGAGGTGGAGAACCTTTGTGTCTAGCTCAGGGATTGTAAACGCACCAATCAGCGCCCTGTCAAAACAGACCACTGGGCTCTACCAATCAGCAGGATGTGGGTGGGGCCAGATAAGAGAATAAAAGCAGGCTGCCCGAGCCAGCAGTGGCAACCCCTTCGGGTTCCTTTCCACGCTGTGGAAGCTTTGTTGTTTTGCGCTTTGCAATAAATCTTGCTACTGCTCACTCTTTGGGTCTACGCTGCTTTTACGAGCTGTAACACTCACCGCAAAGGCCTTCAGCTTCACTGCTGAGCCAGTGAGACCACGAACCCACCAGAAGGAAGAAACTCCGAACACATCCGAACATCAGAAGGAACAAACTCCAGACGTGCCACCTTAAGAGCTGTAACATTGGCCGGGCGCGGTGGCTCACGCCTGTAATCCCAGCACTTTGGGAGGCCGAGGCGGGCGGATCACGAGGTCAGGAGATCGAGACCATCCTGGCTAACACGGTGAAACCCCGTCTCTACTAAAAATACAAAAAAATTAGCCGGGCGAGGTGGCGGGCGCCTGTAGTCCCAGCTACTCGGGAGGCTGAGGCAGGAGAATGGTGTGAACCCCAGGGGGCGGAGCCTGCAGTGAGCCGAGATTGCGCCACTGCACTCCAGCCTGGGCGACAGCAAGACTCTGTCTCAAAAAAAAAAAAAAAAAAAAAGCTGTAACATTCACTGCCAGGGTCCGCGGCTTCAGTCTTGAGGTCAGTGAGACCAAGAACCTACCAATTCTGGACACACTATGCAACTTTAGGGGATTTTTAATCAATGCTCCAGTTCTTTTTTTCTCCAGGATGTGCTAGTGATGCAGGACTTTTTGCTCTTTCGTTCAGCTAAAACCGAGCTGCTTCTCTCACAACCAGGAAAAATTAGGCACGTGGACACATTGAAAAGTAAAAAGAGCAGAATTTATTAAGCAAAAAGGAAAACTCTCAACAAAAGGAGGGGCCTGCACCCAGGTTTTCCACCTCATAGAACTGAATAGCAGGGCACCACATGTGCACTGAAGAGGTCTTGCTCCTCCCTTGCACAAAGTGCAAATTCCTGGTGGCTCCACCCCATTTTCCCAGTGCACGTGCAGGTCCTTTGAGCCACTCCACATTGATTTATTTCCCTTACTATGCATGTGTTAAGGGACAGAATTTTTCACCATGGGCATGTTTAGGCAAGCCCCCTGTGCACAATGACCTGGGCAGCATTTGGCTGTCTCCTACATCTATCACTAGCCACAGACTTTACCACAAACTCCATCTGTTAGGGTGGAGTTAGGGTGATCTTGGTGCTGGACTTAGGTGGGCCAGGGCCTGTCTTAGTGACAGCCCTTCCGATCTCTTCTGTCATCCCCTCCCAGCTGCTAATGTCTATCTAACTACTTAACAGTTATAAAACATGTGCTTTGCATAATTTAAAGTATTTTAAGTTAGTTGAGGCCTGTTTTATGGCCTAGCATATGGTTCAGCTGGGAATGCTTCTTGTGATCTTGTTGCATGAAGTGCTCTCTAAGTATCTGTTAGGTCTAGCTGGTTTATAGTGTTGCTCAGGTCTGTTTTTCTTGTTGATCTGTGTAGTTGTTCTGAACACTACTGAATTTGGTGTATTACAATCTCCAAATATTCTTGTAGAACAGTTTAATTATCCATTCAATGCTGTCACTGTCTGCTTTGTATATTTTGGGAGTCTATGTTTTCAGATTATCAAGAAGCAAATCCCAGATATCATATCATTTGAGCTGTGCATATCTAAGTGTGTGTACTTAAATGGCAAGAACCTGTTTAATATAACACCACCACCATTATCTCAACTGTTGAAATTGACAATAGTTTCTTAAATCAAATGTCTATAATCAGAATTCAACTTTCCCAAATTAATTCATAATTTATTTTAATTTTACATTTGCTTTTATTTTATTCATTCCCTTGTCAAGATGCATATACCCATGAAACCACCAAACCTTACAATATTTCCATTATTCAGATGGTTTTCTCATGTCCCATCAATAAAATATCGTATATTCATATATAACTATTATTGTGACCTAAAATACCACTATGTTAGTTTTGCTTGTTTTTGATGATTAGAATTATGCGGTTTTTATTCTTTTATGCCTGGTTTTGTTTGCTCAACATTTTGCCTTTGAGTTTTATCCATGGTATTGCATGTAAGCAGTAGTTCGTTCTTTATCTTTGCTCTATTGTTTTCTACAGCCTAACTACAAAATAGTGTATTTACTTAGTCTATCCTTATGTTGATGGACATTTAGATAGTTTCACATAGCACTCAGAAATAGGGTATACATATGTTTAGCTTTGGAAGTTCCAACGTGGTAGCATCAGTTCTATCCTAGGCATCAAGATATAAGTGTTGCAATTAGCCTACATTCTTGCCAGTACTAGATGTAATTGCTACTTTTCAAAATGGTAGGACTTTTCCACCTATGAGTGAGAACATGTGGTGTTGGGAATTGAACAATGAAAACACTTGGACACAGGAAGGGGAACATCACACACCGGGACCTGTCGTGGGGTGGGGGGAGGGGGGAGGGAAAATATTAGGAGATTTACCTAATGTAAGTGATGAGTTAATAGGTGCAGCACACCAACATGGCATATGTATACATATGTAACAAACCTGCACGGTGTGTACATGTACCCTAGAACTTAAAATATAATAATAATAAAAGAAAACAAACAAAAAAACAAAAAACAAAACAAAAAAATGGTAGGCCTTTATTGGTTACTCTCTACTGCCTTTAAACAGTTTGGGTTTTTTTTTTTTTTTCAGTTTCCATACTTGGTTTTTTGGTGGGAACATTAATTAGTCTTATACAAATAAACTCACAGTATTTTTGTACAGTTTATTTAAGTCAAAATCTAATAAGGTCTATAGGTTGCAGTTACTTGACATCTCTTAAGTCTCTCAATTTACAGGTTCTCACTCCATATTCCATCTTCTCCAGCTATTATTTTCTGAGACCAAAAAGGTCAATTGTCTTGTACAGTATCTCATGGCCTGCCTTCTTCTGATTCATCTCCATGGTGTCATTCATCATTTTTTCTCTGTTTGCTTATTTGTAATAAATACATATACCAAGCTCTATATGATTCTGGCATTTTTTTGCAATAACTTTATAGTTTGTTCTCTTCCAACAGAGTGCACATAATCCAAATATCACTCTTTATATGTGTGTGATATTAGTGCCTATTAAATAACTCCCTGATCTTTTATTTTATTATGTGTTGAAAATGGTCATGTTCTTATTTACTGTTTATTTTTCATTTATTATCTGGAATGCTTCCTTAAAGATAAATTTGTACTCATCATCTAGTTGGTTGCCCTGAAGCATAACCAGGCAAAACAAGAAGACACAAGTTCAAAACACTTGTTTTCCCTTCATTTACAAATTTTTTTGATTGATGAGTTGTACAATTAGTATCTTTCAAAGGTGATCAATGGGTCTATTATTTTATTACTTTGTGATAATATTATGGAGTTTAACAAAGAGGTTGCAATTGATGGCAGCATTTTCTAACTGAAGCTAAAACTTGGTTCACCATTGGTTACAGAGATTCTCCTTGCATGGGATTTTAAGTCTTTTTAGCTATGTTCGTAGAAATCCTTGAGTACATCCTTGCTATGCAGTATGACGAAATGTTCTAGGTCTTCCGGATACGTTTCTTGCCTTAGACCTAGATAGCTTTTTGTGTAAGAAGTGTTAGCTCGTCTTAGTGAAGAATTGTACTTAGAATTTACAATATGGGCACTAGGGATGCTCTTTGCTATTGAAATAGGCACTGTGTCTAGGTACTTTCAGTGGACAGAGCTAGGAAATCAAATTTTTAAGGAATAAACTTAATATGAATTAATAATTATACTTCTGAATTGATTTCAGGAATACAGGGTTTTACAAGCCTCACCAATATTATTTCTAATCTTTCTTTTCTTGTGCTGAAAATCCTAGGTCTCAATGGAACTGACATAGTCATTTCTCTTATGCTGTAATACACCCACAATAGTATCAGAATAACAATATGAATGTACAATAACACCATAAAACAATATGTTTATTCCAAACAATTTTGAATTTTTTTGCAGGTTTTTCTTTTTGATTATTTTAAACATAACTCAATACAGCTATATAGAAAGTTTCAGAGATTTAAAACCACTGAAAGTGCCTATACCTTCAACTATGTCACAGGTAGATTCATTGGTTTCATCTTGATTTGGGATTTTAGGGATTTCTTTATAAAATTAATTATGCTTTATAATAATTTAAAATCTTTTTATGATTCTGAAATGCAGTCTCTCCTTTTACATTTGTATTTTATTCTGAGTTCTGCCTATCATAACTGCCATTGAAGATCATTAGATGATCTTCATTCTTATCAGAAGAAAAAATTCTAATTGCTCAGTTACTTATTCATTAAGTATATATTGACATTAAAACTATTAAGATAATAAGTGAAGAGTAGAATGTGCAGAGAAATGAACTATTTGACCCCTGATGTATTTAAGGAAATATATTAGAATGTTTCACACACTTTCTCTCTTAATTGCCATAGCAACTTCATAACTTTATTTTTTAAAAGACTATTACTAAAGTATAAATTGGTCAAATAGGTTAGGTAGTCTTTAAAATGTATGTTTCTTCTGACTTTTTAATAATAGATTTTCTGACTGGTGTGAGATGGTATCTCATTGTGGTTTTGATTTGCATTTCTCTAATGACTCACTAGTGATGTTGAGCTTTTTTTCATATGCTTGTTGGTCACGTGTATGTCTTCTGAGATGTCTCTGTTCATATCCTTTGCCCATTTTTCAATGGAGATGTTGTTTTTATTTCTTGTTGAATTGTTTAAGTTCCTTATAGATTCTGGATATTAGACCATTGTCAGATGCAAAGTTTGCAAATATTTTCTACCATTCTGAATGCCATCTGTTTACTTTGTTGATGGTTTCTTTTGCTGTGCTCTTTAGTTTAATTAGATTCCATTATTTATTTTTGTTTTTGTTGCAATTGCTTTTGGAGACTTTGTCATAAATTTTTTGCCCAGGCCTATGTCCAGAATGGTATTTCCTAGGTTTTCTTCTAGGGTTTTTACAGTTTGAGGTCCTACATTTAAGTCTTTAATCCATCTCAAGTTGATATTTATATATGGTAATATGATTTGGCATGTCCCCACACAAATCTCATCTTGAATTGTAGTTCCCACAATTCCCATGTTTAGTGGGAGGAACCCAGTGGAAGATGATTGAATTATGGGGGTGGGTCTTTCCTGCTCTGTTTTCATGATAGTGGATGAGCCTCACAAGATCTGATGGTTTTAAAAACGGAGTTTCCCTGCACAAAATCTGTCCTTACCTGCCACCATCCAGGTAAGACGTGACTTGCTCCTCCTTGCCTTTCACCTTCCACCATGATTGTGAAGCCTCCTCAGCCACGTGGAACTGTAAGTCCAATAAACCTCTTTCTTTTGTAAATTTCCCAATCTCAGGTATGTCTTTATCAGCAGTGTGAAAATGAACTAATACATATGGTAAAAGGAAGTGGTCCAGTTTCGATCTTCTGAATATGGCCAGCCAGTTACCCCAGTACCAATTATTGGTAGGAAGTCCTTTCCCCATTGCTTGTTATTGTCAACTTTACCAAAGGTCAGATGGTTGTAAGTGTATGCTTTTACCTCTGGGTTCTCTAACCTCTGTTCCATTGGTCTACATGTCTGCTTTTGTGCCAGCACACTGCTGTTTTGGTTACTGTAGCCTTGCAGTATAGCTTGAAGTCAGGTAATGTGATGCCTCCAGCTTTGTTCCTTTTGCTTAAGATACTTTGGCTACTTTGGCTCTTTTAAATTCCATAATTTTAGAATAGCTCTCTCTAATTCTGTGAAAAATGACATTGGTAGTTTGATAGAAACAAGATTTGATCTATGAATTGATTTGGGCAGTATGGCCATTTTAACAATATTGATTCTTCCAATCCATTAGCATGGAAGATTTTTCATTTGTTTCTATCATCTCTAATTTCTTTGAGCAATGTTTTGTAATTCTCATTGTAGAGATTATTCACCTCCCTGATTAGCTGTATTCCTACGTGTTGTATTCTTTTTGTAGTTACTAGGAATGAGATCATGTTCTTGATTTGGCTCTCGGCTTGGACATTAGTTATATATAGAAATGTTACTGATTTTTGTACATTGATTTTTTTAATACTGAAACTTTACTAAATTCGTTTACCAGTTCTAGAAGCCTTTGGACAGAGACTATGGGGTTTTCTATAGAGTCATAATGTCTGCGAATATAGATAATTTTACTTCCTCTCTTCCTATTTAAATGCATTTTATTTCTTTCTCTTGCCTAATTGCTATGGCCAGGACTTTCAATGCCATATTGATAAGGAGTAGTGAGAGTGGACATTCTTGTCTTGCTCTGGTTTTCAAGGGGAATGTTGCTGGCTTTTCCCCATTCAGTATGATGTTCAATGTGGGCTTCAGAATAAGAGTACTAGATTGCTCTTATTATTTTGGGTTATGTTCCTTCAGTTCCTAGTGTGCTGAGAGATTTTAACATGAAGGGATATTGTAGTTTACACCATGGAATACTATGCAGCCATTAAAAAGAATGAAATCCTGTTCTTTCCAGTAATGTGGATGCAACTAGAGAGGCCATTATTTTAAGCAAATTAATGCAGGAACAGAAAATCACATAACACAGGTTCTCACTTATAAGTGGGAGCCAAACATTGAGTACCAATAGACACAAAGATTGGAATAATAGACACAAGAGGATACTTGAGGGTAGAGAGTGAGAGGAGGGTGAAGATCTGGTATTATGCTCACTACCTGGGTGATGAAATCATTTGTACACCAAACCCCAGCTGCATGCAATTTACTCATGTAACAAACCTGCATTTACCCCCGAACCTAAAATAAAAGTTTAAAAGAAAAAAAAGTATGTGGATAATAAATGCAAGATTCACATTTAAATTCAGATATAACTTCAATCAGACTACAATGATAGCCAGACTGTCACATTATAATTAATAGATTAATTAATGCATAATTTCTTACAGAATTATTTCACACCTTATTCTATAATTCATAAAAATAATACTGAAAGGAAAGTTTTATCTATGTTTTATAACAGAAATGTTGACTCTAAATCACAATCTTTCTGGGGTACTTCTATTTTATATCTGTTTTTGAGCCACTTACTATCTAGTAGTATATTGGATTGGATCTAATATGCTACTGGATCTAATATACACTGATAACATAATGTAATAGTGTAACAAAAAGCTGAATGCAATGAGAAAGTGGCTTATTTTTATATATAAAGACAGAGTGATGCATTTAATTTACTAGGAGTTCAACAAATATTGCCAATATTAATTTTTTAATATTCTAAATTGTCAGAATTACCCAGGTATGCATTCTTCGACATGTTCCACTCTAAATATTGATTTTCTTTATGTTAATGTTAAATAACATTAAAGGTTTCCTGATTTCATTAACAATGACATTTCATTACAGATGGAGGTTTCCTTTGAAAATGAGCAACATCCTAATGACACTGAAAGCAGAAAAGCACAACAGATAAAATGGTTCAATATGATACATGGCATTGGGTTTATCTATTGGGACTTCAGAAAGTAAGCATGTTGGGAGTTGCTAATGTCAATTAGCCAAATCTGAAGGATTGATGATTATCTATTCTAACAAAGAATCTCCCCAAGACCTTAATTAACAGCACAGAAAGTATGGGAATTTTTACCACCCCCGAAACGTGCTACAACAGTTTTACAATCTTACCTTTGTTTTGACAGTGAGATTATTTAAGAGTTGGCAGAAATGTTCGACTTCTGGCAAATGCATAGTGTCTTCTTTGAATACAGTTAATTCCTCCTCAGCTAAGATGCTTTCTGAAATAATCATGCAGACCTAAAGACCAGGTTTCCTTAACTTTTATCAACCCCAAGCACAAAGCAGGTAACATGTAGATATAGAACAGAAGATGTTGATGAAGCCGAATGTTTTTATAAAATCCCAGCATTCACACACAAAAATTATTTTCATGATTTTAATATAAAGGAAGTAAAAAAAGGAAAAAAAAACTGACTTAAAAGAGCCAGACCAAGGTAGCTGAAAAGACATCCCAGGTTCTGCTTTTGATTTATAAAACTGAGCCTTAATAATCAAGTTTCTCACAACCACTCATGTCTCTTTCCCTTGTCTTTGCAAAAGAGGAGTTCCCCAACATCCCAGGCCACTGAAATGAGTCAGCATCTTTGGCCAAACTTTGGCACACAACTCAGGAAGACTAGCATCTAAGCAGCCCTCTCATTGATGTGGCTATCATGGATGGCATCCCTTAACACTCCATGGATGCAGGCCTCATCAGACTTCTCCTTCCAAGATGCATACGGGCCCAAGGAAGTGTTCACAACTTAGTGAAAGATGGATGGGCATGTTAATGTTACCATCAAATATTTGGGGAGTTTGAGTAAACATAAATTCAAGTTTGACTAGGGCACATTTGCAGTACCCAGAACTTTACTGAGGAGTAGTGGTTACTTCCATTACCTTCAACTAAATCATTTCAGTTGCCTTTTGAAATATGTTTCCCTATTCTGTTTTCATGCATGAGTTAAATCACATCCACATCTCCACATGGCTACTAAGCAGTAGAGGCAGGACTTGAAACAAAAAATCTCTCTCTCTAGGCCCACGCTCTTTCCTGTGTCATTCCATTGCCTCTACAATAAGTTGATAAACATGAGGAAACAACAAAAGCATGACGCTATCTCCTGAACAAAAGGAAACACTACCACTGAAAAATGAAAACTGTAAAGGAAGAGAAAAGAAAGAGCCTTCAAATAGATTTATAAGCCCAGAAACTGACTCACACAAATAGTGTAAACTGATCTTTGATGAAGGAGTAATGGCAATTCAGTAGAGAAAAATAAGCCTTATCAACAAATGATGCTGGGACAACAAGACATCCACAGGCAAAAAGCAAAATGTAAGAACCTAGATAGAGATTTTACAACTTTCACAAAACTTAATTCAAAATGTATCATAGACCTACATGTAAAACACAAAACTATAAAACTTCTAGAAGATAACAGGAGAAAATCTAGGTAACCTTGGGTTTTACGACGGGTTTTAGGTAAGACACCAAAAGCACAATCTATGAACAAAAGTTAATAAGTTAGACTTCAGTAATTTAAACACTTCTGCTTTGTGAAAGACACTGTTAACAAAATAAAAAAGACAATGATGCTTACAAAAACTTTATTCATAATTGCCAAAACTGAAAGCCTACAACACATTACTCAAATGTTGAATGGATAAACAAACTCTGGTACAGCTATACAATAAAATATTATTCAATAATAAATTGAATGAGCTATATGAAACCATGAAAAGACATAAAGGAAGCTTAAATGCATACTTCTAATTAAAACAAGCCATTCTTAATTGACTACATACTATATGGTTCTAACTATATGACACTCTAGAAAAGGAAAAACTATAGAGACAGTAAAAAGACCACTGGTTGCAAGGAGTTTAATTAGAAAAGTAGAGAGGATAGACCGCTGAAGCACATGGAGTTTTAGGGAAGTGAAAGCATTTTGTATAAAACTATAATGGTGACTATGTGACATTATGCATTTGTCAAAAGTAATAGAACTGTAGAACACATAGAGTGAACCCTAATGTAATCTATGGATTTTAGTTAATAATAATGTATCAATATTGGTTCATCAACTGTAACAAACGTACAACACTAATGCAAGATCTTTAAAATAGGGGAAACTATGGGTGGGGAAAAAGGTGGGAATTTTCTGCACTACCTGCTCAATTTTTCTACAAACCTAAAAATTCTCTAAATATAAAATCTATTAATTAAAATTAATTTAATGCTAAAGAAGGCAATAATGAGGAAACAGGAAAAAATAGATATGACATATAAAAACAGAGCAAAATAGAAGAAGTCACTCTTTATTAGTAATTAAAGGAAAATTGATTAAACTCAGTTAAAGATAAGAGTGGTAGATTTAATATAAACAATAATTCAACGATATTCTATCTAAAAAACTTATTTTAGATCCAAAGACACAAATAGGTTGAAGGTAAAATGATTAAAAAGTACCATGGAAATAGTAACAAAAACATTGCTAGGGTGGCTTTAATGATATCAAACAAAATAGATTTTACATCAAAAATTATAAAAGACAATAAAAATACTTACAAATTGATTAAAGGGTCAATCATCAAGAAGATATAATAATTACAAACACATAGACAACAACAGAACCCCTTAAATTGATAAAATTGAAGAGGAAAAAACATTTCTACAATAATAGTTAGAAATATCAATATCCTACTTTTAACAATGTATAAAGAATTGTAAAAGAACATGAATAAGAAACTACAGAATTTTAAAAACACTAAACAAACTAGAACCTAACAGACATGTGCAAAACACCTTATCAAGCCAGAGCAAAATACATGTTTTGTATTAAGTATACATAAAACACTTTTAACATAGCTGTATATTAGGTCACAAAACACATCTCAGAATTTAAAATTTTGAAGACATATGACATTTATTCTCCAATAACCTGGAGTAAAACTAGAAATCAATATCAGAAGGAAAACTAGAAAATTCACAAGTATGTGGAAATTAAACAATACACTCAGACAAAAAATGGTCAAAGAAGAAATCACAGAGAAATTAGGAATATTTTGTTTTGAGACAAAAACATACAATATACCAAAATGTATTAGGCTTATATATTTTGGAAGGGAATTTATACCTGTAAATACCTACATTAAAAATGAAGAATGATATCAAATCAATAACCTACCTTTATTTCTCAAAGAACTAGGGAAAAAGAGCAAAGTAAACCCAAAGCTAGCAGAAGGGAAGAAAGGGTAAGTAAACCAACAAAATAGAGCAGATATAAACAAAATAGAGAATTCAGGACAACACCGAGATTCAATAAAATGAGAAGTTGGCTTTTGGAAAGATCAGTAAAATTAACAAATATTAAATCAGAATGAATAAGAAACAAGTGAATAATCAAATTACCACCATCAGAAATAAAAGTGAAGGCATTAGTGCTGATCTTGCAGAAATAAAAAGTTTTATAGCAAAATACTACGATAGATAACCTAGGTAAAATAGACAGATTCCTAAAAACACAGAAACTATCCAAACTAAATTCCAAAGGAAACAGAAAATCTGCATAGATTTATAACAAGTATGAGATTGAATCGGTAATCAAAAACCTACCAAAGGACTCCCTGTTTAATGAACGGTACTGGGATAACTGGCCAGCCACACGCAAAACGAAACTAGACCCTACCATTCACCATAAACAAAAATGAACTCGAGATGGTTGAAATATTTAAATGTAAGACCTTAAACTATAAAAATCCTTGAAGAAAACCTAGGAAATACCCTTCTTGACATTGCCTTTGGCAAACAATTTTTGGCCAAGCCCACAAAAGCAATTGGAACAGAAACAAAAATTGACAAGTGGGACCTAATTAAACTGAAGAGCTTCGTTCGGCACAGCAAAAGAAACTGTCAACAAAGTAAACAGACAACCTAAAGAGTAGAAGAAAATGTTCATAAACTATGCATCTGACAAAGGCTAATATGCAGAATCTATATGGAATTTAAATAAATCAACAAACAACTAACAACCTCATTTAAAAAATGGGAAAGGGCCAGGCGCTGTGGCTCACACCTGTAATCCCAGCACTTTGGGAGGCCAAGGCCAGGCAGATCACGAGGTCAGGAGATCGAAACCATCCTGGCCAACATGGTGAGACCCCGTCTTTACTAAAAATACAAAAATTAGCTGAGTGTGGTGCCGCATACCTGTAATCCCAGCTACTTGGGAGGCTGAGGCAGGAGAATCGCTTGAACCTGGGAGGCGGAGATTGCAGTGAGCCAAGATCGCACCAAGGCACTCTAGCCTGGGAACACAGTGAGACTCCATCTCAAAAAAAAAAAAAAAAAAAAAAAAGGAAAAGGACACTTCTCAAAAGAAGACATACAAGCAGCCAAGACACACGTGAAAAACTGCTAACATCACTAATCATCAGAGAAATGCAAGTAAAAACCATAATAAGATAGTATCTCACACCAGTCAGAATGGCTATTATTAAAAAGTAAAAAAAAAAAAACAAAACATGCTCGTGAGGCTATGGGAAATGGAAGGGAACACTTACACATTTTTAGTGGGAATGCATATTAGTTCAGCCACTGTGGAAAGCAGTATGGAGAAGTTTTTAAATAACTTAAAACAGAGCTACCATTTAACCCCTTAATCCCATTACTGATTATATATCCAAAGGAAAATAAATCAATAAATGGCACATGCACTCTGCATGTTCATCACCATGCTATTTACAATAGCAAAGACATGGAATCAACATAGGTGCCCATCAATGGATTGGATAAAGAAAGTGTGGTGCATATACACCATGGAATACTATGCAGCCATAAAAACGATTGAAATCATGTTCTTTGCAGCAACATGGATGCAGCTGGAGGCCATAATCCTATGCAAATTAATGCAGAAACAGAAAAACAAATATTTCCTGTTCTCAGTTATAAGTGGGAGCCACACATTGAACAGAAATAAACATAAATATGGGAACAATAGACACTATGGACTGCTAGAAGGTGGAAGGAGGGAAAAGGGTATGGTTTGAAAAACCACCTATTGGGTACTATTCTCACAACCTGGGGGAACGGGTCTATTCTCCAAACCTCAGCATCATGCAATATGCCCGTGTAACAAACCTGCACATGTGCCCCCTAGGTCTAAAATAAAAACAGAAAACAGAAACCTCCTAACAAAGGAAAGCTAAGGACTAGATAGATGGCTTCACTAGTGAATTCTACCAAACATTTAAAGAAGAATTAACACAAATCCTAAATAAATTCTTCCAAAAAATAAATAAAACTCTTTTTAACTCATTCTAAGAGGCCGGCATTACTCTAAGACATAAGAAAATTAAATTACAAACAAAAATCCCTTATGAATATAGATGCAAAACATTCTCAATTAAAACTGGCAAACTAAATCCAGCCGCATGTTAAAATAATATGACCAAGTGGGATTTATTCCAAGAGTGAATAAAATCAATGTAATAAACCATATTATTAGAATGAAAGAAAAATTTTAAAATATATATATGTATATGTGTTCATCTCAACTAGTGCAAAAAAATCTTGACAAAATCCAACACTCTTTCAAGAAAAAACCCACTCAGAAAACTAGCAATAGACAGGTTCTTTCTCAATATTATAAGGGTGCTTATTTAAAAACTCATAGTTAACATTATAATCAAATGGAGGAAAACTTTACCCTAAGATCAGAAGCAAGACAAGAGCATCCTCTGTTCTCACCTCTTTTCAACATTGTAATGGTAGTTTTATGCAGAGCAGTGAGAATAAATAAAAGAAAAAGCATCCAAATTAGAAACGAAAAAGTAAAACTGTCTTTACAGATGACATTGTATTACATAGAGAAAATTCTAAAGGATTTATACCAAAACTTATTAGAGCTAATTAACAAATTCAGCAATGTTGCAAGAAAGAAGACCAGCATACAAAAATCACTTATAAGTTCTAGCCAGAGCAATTAGGCAAGAGAAAGAAATGAAAGACATCCAACCTTAAATGGAGGAAGTCAGGTTGTCCCTGTTTACAGATGACATGATCTGATGTATAGAAAACCTCAAAGATTCCACCAAAAACCATTACACCTAATACATAAATTCATTGAAGTCACAGGGTACAAAATCAACACACAAAAATCAGTTGCATTTCTGTATGCCAATAGAAAATTATCTGAAAAATGAATCCAGAAAGTAATTCCATATCATACAGGAGCTACAAAAAAAAAATCATAGGAACAAATTTAACCAAGAAGATGAAAGATCTCAATAATAAAAACTAGAAACCATTGATGAAAGAAATATTGAAGATATAGAAAAATATGGATATTCCATGTTCATAAATTGTAAAAATATTGTTAAAATGTACATACTACTCAAAGTCATCCACAAATTCAATGCAATCGCTATGGAAATACCAATGACATTCTTCAAAGAAATAGAAAAAAAAATCTTAAAAATTTTATGGAACCACAAAAGGCCTTGAATAGCCAAAGCAGTCTTCAGAAACACACACACACAAAAACACACACACACACACACAGTGTGATGGTGGCATCACACTATCCAACTTCAAAACACACTACAAAGCTACAGTAAACAAAGTACAAAGATGCTGGCATAAAAACAGACACATAGACTAATGGAGCAAAATAGAAAGCCCAGAAACAAACCCACTCATTTACAGCTTATTGATTTTCAGCAAAAATGCCAAGTACACAAAATGGGGAAAGTGCAATCTCTTCAATAAATAGTGCTGGAAAAACTGAACAAACATAAGCAGAAGAAAAAAATTAGATCCTTATCTCTCACCATATACAAAAACCAATTCAAAATGGATTAAAGGTGTGAGACCTGAAACTGCAAAACTGGTAGAAAAAAACATAGGGGAAAAGCTTCTAGGCAGAAAGTTTTGGGATAAAACCTGAAAAGCACAAGCAACAAAATCCAATGTAGACAAATGGAATTACATCAAACTAAAAAGCTTCTGCACAACAAAGGAAACAATCAATAAACCAAAGAGACAACCTATAAAAAGAGAGCCTACTTTGTGCCCTGTGCTGTGCCAGGTATGATTACGTTATGGTTGTGAGAAGGTTACGGCCCCACTATTTGCATTCTCTTTTTACCCTCTCCCCCATCCACATTTTATCTTTCTTCCTATAAGAAATCATACATTTGCTGAAGGGTTAATATCCAAAATATATAAGGAACTCAAACAACCCAACAACAAAAGTACAAATAACCTGATTTTAAAATGGGCAAAAGACCTGAATAGACATTTCTCAAAAGAAGACATGCAAATGAACAACAGATATAGGAATAAATGCTCAACATCTCTAATCATCAGGGAAATACAAACTAAAACCAAAATGAGATATCAGCTTAATCCAGTCACAATGAATGCTATGAAAACAATTGAAAGTTAACAAGGGTTGGTGAGGATGTGGAGAAAGGGGAGCACTTACATTCTGCTGATGGGAATGTAAATTAGAACAGCAATTGTGGAAAAAGTATGGACATTCTTCAAAAAATTAAAAAGAGAATTACCATATGATTCAGTAATACCACTACTTGGTATGTAGCCAAAGGAAATGAAATATAATATAAGGCTTTTACACTGAAAACTGCAATATTTTGCTAGGAAACTATAAAGAAGACTTAAATAAGTGGAACATCATCATATATTCATTAATTGGAAAATTTAATATTGTTAAGATGGCAATACTCCAAAGTGAACCACACACTTTTAAAGCAGCCCCATCAAAATTGGCTTTTTTTGGCCACATAATTTTTTCTTTATTCTTTATTTTTTCCCCTTTAGGAACAATTGATTTAATAATGTGGCCATTTGTTAGTTTAAGGCACTGTGCTTGTTTATAACAACAGTGAAGTCATACTAGGCTGGATATGTGCATAAGTCAATGGAAGATTGTGCAGCTACTCAGTGAATCAGCCAGAGCAAAGGGTCACTCTGACATTTTAACTGAAAAATCCTGCTTTCCCAAAGTCATGGGGAATTGCTTTTCCAAGTCTTTAAAAAATTATTTTAGATTCAAGAGTATATGTGCAAGTTTGTTATATAGGTAAATTGTGTGTCACAGGGGTTTGGAGTACACATTATTTTGTTACCCAGGTGATAAGCATAGTTCCCAGTAAGTAGTTTTTTGATCCTCTCCCTCCTCCCAACCTCTACCCTCAGGAATGCCCTGGTGTCTGTTGCTCCCTTCTTTGCATCCGCGTCTACTGCCTTCTTTGCATTCATTTTTAGCTCCCACTTACAAATGAGAACATGCAGTATTTGGTTTTCTGTTTCTGCATTACTTCATTTAGAATAATGGCCTCCAGCTCCATACCTGAGGACATGATTTCATTCTTTTCTTATGGCTGCATAGTACTCGGTTGTGTATATGTACCATATTTTCTTTATCCAGTCTATCATTGATGGGCATTTAGGTTGATTCCATGTCTTTGCTATTGTAAACTGTGCTGCAATGAACATATGCATGCTTGTGTCTATATGGTAGAGCAATGTATGTTCCTTTGGGTACATACCCAATAATGGGATTGCTGGATTGAATGGGATTTCTGTTTTTAGCTCTTTGAGAAATTGCCACACTGCTTTCCATAATGTGTAAGTTAGTTAGTGAGAAACAACTTATATTCCCACCCTCAGTGTATGTGTTCTCTTTTCTCAACAACCTTGCCAGCATCAGTTATTTTTTGACCTTTTAGTAATAACCATCCTTGGTGTGAGATGGTATGTCATTGTGATTTTGATTTCCATTTTTCTAATTATTAGTGATGTTGAGCATTTTTATGTGTTTATTGACCGCATGTATGTCTTCTTTTGAAAAGTGTCTGTACATTTATTTTGCCCATTTTTAAATGGGTTTATTGTTTTTTGCTTGTTAATTAGTTTAAGTGTCTCACCGATTCTTGATATTACACTTTGTTGGATGCATAGTTTGCAAATGTTTTCTTTCATTCTGTAGAATATTTACTTTGCTGATAGTTTGTTTTGCTGTGCAAAAGCTCTTTAGTTTAATTAGCTCATACATGTTTTGTTTTTTTTTTGTTTGTTTGTTTTTTGTTTTTTGTTTTGCAGCAAATTGCTTTTGGAGTTTTCATAATGAAATGTTTGTCCGGGTTTACATCTAGAATAGTATTTCCTAAGTTATATTTTAGAGGTTTTATACTTTTAAGTCTTACATTTTAAGTTTTAATCCATCTTAAGTTGACTTTTGTATAAGTGTAAGGAAAGGGTCCAGTTTCCATCTTTTTCATATGGCCAGCTAGTTATCCTGGCACCATTTACTGAAGAGAGTCTTTTCCCAACTGGTTGTTTTTGTCAGCTTCATTGAATAACAGACAATTGTAGGTGTGCAACTTTATTTCTAGGCTATCTATTCTGTTCCAATGGTCTATGTGTCTGTTTTTGTGCCAGTTCCATGCTGTTTTGGTTACTGTAGCCTTGCAGTATAGTTTGAAGTTGGATAACATGATGCTTTCAGCTACGTTCGTTTTGCTTAGGATTGCTCTAGCTATTCAAGCTCCCTTTTGGTTCCATAGGAATTTTAAAATAGATTTTTCCAATTATATGAAGAATGTTATTGGTAGTTTGATAGGAATAGCATTGAATCTGTAAATTCCTTTGGGCAGTATGGCCATTTTAACAATATTGATTCTTCCAAACGATGAGCATGTAATGTTTTTCTATTTGTTTTTGTCATCTGTGATTTCTTTGAGTAGTATTTTCTACTTGTCATTGTAGAGATCATTTACCTCCCTGGTGAGCTGTACTCGTAGTCATTTTATTCTTTTTGTCACTATTGTGAATGGGATCACATTCTTGATTTGGCTCTTAGCTAGGAAGTTGTTGATGTACAGAAATGCTACTGGTTTTTATGCAATGATTTTGCATCCTGAAACTTTGCTGAAGTTTTTTTATTACATTGAGGAGCTTTGGGGTAGAGACGATGGGGTTTTCTATGTACAAAATCATATCATCTACAAACAAAGATAGTTTGACTTTCTTTCTTCCTATATGAATGCCTTTTATTTCTTCTTCTTGCCTGCTTGCTATGGCTAGGACTTCTAGTGCCATGTTGAATAGGAGTGGTGAGAGTAGGCATCCTTGTCTTACTCTGCTTTCCACGAGGAATGCTTCTAGCTTTTGCCCATTCAGTAGGATGTTGGCTGTGGGTTTGTCATAGATGGCTCTTACCATTTTGAAGCATGCTCCTGAAATGCCTAATTTGTTGAGGGTTTTTTTTTAACATAAAGAGATATTAAATTTTATTAAAATCCTTTTCTGCATCTGTCAAAGTGATTATGTGATGCCTTTTTAGTTCTGTTTATGTAATAAATCACATTTATTGATTTGATTTGCATATGTTGAACCAACCTTGTATCCCAGGAATAAAGCCCACTTGTTGGAAGTGGATTAGCTTTTGATGTGCTAGTGAATTCAGTTTGTTAGCATTTTGTTGAGGATCTTTGCATTTCTGTTCATCAAATATATTGGCCTGAAATTTTCTTTTTTTGTTGTGCCTCTGCCAGGTTTTGGTATCCCAGTGATGCTGGACTCATATAATGAATTAGAAATAAGTCCCTCCTCCTCAGTTTTATGGAATAGTTTCCATTGGAATGGTACCAGCTTTTCTTTATACATCCAGTAGAATTCAGCTGTGAATACTTCTTGTCCTGGGCTTTTTTTCTGGTTGGTAGGCTTTTTATTATGGATTCAAACTTGAAACCTGTTATCATTCTGTTTAGGGATTCGATTTCTTCTTTGTTCAATATTATGAAGTTCTACATTTCCAGGAATTTATTAATTTCTTCTAGCTTTTCTAGTTTGTGTGCATAGAGTTCCTCATAGTCATCTCTGAGGGTTTTCTTGTATTTCAGCGGGCTCAGTGGTAATGTCTCCTGTTTTATTTCTGATTGTGTTTATTTGAATCTTCTTTTTTTCTTTATTAGTTTAGGTAGCAATCAGGCAATCTTATTTATTCTTTCAAAAAACAAATTCCTGCACTCAATTATATTTTGTATTTTTTTTAATCAATTTCCTTCATGTCAGCTCTGGTTTTGTTATCTGTTGCCTCCTGATTGCTTTGTGGTTGGTTTACTCTTCTTTCTCTAGATTCTGTCAGTGTGATGTTAGGTTGTTAATTTGGGATCTTTCTAATTTTCTATGTGGGCATTTAGTGCTATCAACTTCCCTTTTAACACGCTTTAGCTGTGTCCCAGAGATTCTTATATATTGTATCTTTATTCTCATTAGTTTCAAAGAACTTCTTGATCTCTGCCTTAATTTTATTGTTTATTTAAACAACTTTGAGGAGCAGACTGTTTAATTTCCATGTAATTGCATGGTTTTGAGCAATTTTCTTATGATTAATTTCTATTTTTATTGTGCTGTGGTCCAAGACTGTGGTTGTTATGATTTCATTGTTTTTCAATTTGCTGAGGATTGTTTTATGTTCTATTGGGTGGTTGATTTTAGAATATGTGCCATGTGCAGATGAGAATAATACATACTCTGTTGGTTTTGTGTGGATATTTCCATAGATGTTTGTTAGACCCATTTGGTTAAATGTTGAGTTCAGGTCTCAAATATCTTTGTTAGTTTTCTGCCTCAATGATCTAATACTGTCAGTGTAATATTGAAGTCTCCCACTATTACTGAGTGCTTATCTAAGTCTCCGTGTATGTCTCTAAGAGCTTGCTTTATAAATATGGGTGCTCCTGTGTTGGGCGCATAATATTTAAAATAGTTAAGTATTCTTGTTGATTTGAACCCTTTACCATTATGTAATCCCCTTCTTTCCCTGTTTTCATAATTGTTGGTTTAAAGTCAAGTTTTATCTGGAATTAGAATTTGAATCCCTGCCTTTTTCTGTTTTTCATTTGCTTGATAAATTTATCTCCATCTCTTTACTTTGAGCCTGTGGTTGTCATTGCATGTAAGATGGGTCTCTTTTAGATAGCATACAGTTGGATCTTGCTTCTTCATCCAACTTGCCACTCTGTGCCTTTTAATTGGTGCATTTAGCCCATTTACATTCAAGGTTAATATCAATATGTGCAGGTTTGATCCTGTCATCATGTTGTTAGCTGGTTATTATGCAGTCTTCATTGTGTGGTTGCTTTACAGTTTCAATGGTTTATGTACTTGACTATGTTTTTGTGGTGGCTGGTAAGGGTATTTCCTTTCCATATTTAGCACTCCCTTAAAGACATCTTGCAAGGCAGGTCTGGTGGTACTAAATTCCCTTAGCATTTGCTTGTCTAAAAAGGATCTTATTTTTCCTTTGTTTATGAAGCTTAGTTTGGGAAGACATGAAATTATTGGTAGATTATTTTCTTTAAAAATGCTGAATATAGGCCCTCAATCTTCTCTGGTTTGTGGAGTTTCTCTGAAAGACCCACTGTTAGCCTAATGGGTTCCCTTTGTAGATGATTTGCTCCTTCTCTCTAGCTGCCTTTAACATTTTTTCCTTTCATTTTGACCTTAGAGAATCTGATGACCATGTGTCTTCAAGATGGTCTTCTTGGATAGTATCTCTCAGGGTTTCTCTGCATTTTCTGGATTTGAATGTTGGCCTCTGCAGCGGTTGGAGAAATGTTTGTGGATAACATCCTCAAATATGCTTTTCTAGTTGCTTGCTTTCTCTCCCTCTATTTCATGGATGCCAAGGAATTGTAGATTTGTTCTCTTTACATAATCTCATATTTCTCAGAGTTTTTGTTCATTCTTCTTTATTCTTTTTCTTTATTTTTGTCTGACTGAGTTATTTCGGAGAACCCATCCTTTTAGCTCTCAGATTCTTTCCTCGGCTTGTTTGATTCTACTGTTATTACATGCAACTGTATTGTAAAATTCTTGAAGTGAGTTTTTCAGCTTTATCAGTTTAGAGTTTGGTTCTTTCTTAAAATGGTCATTTTGTTTGCTATCTCCTGTATATTTTATTGTATTGCTTAGATTCCTTGGGTTGGGTTTCAACTTTCTCCTGAATGTTGGTGATTTTCATTCCTATCCATATTCTGAATTCTATTATTGACATTTCAGCCATTTCAGCCTGGTTAAGTACCATTGCTGGGGAACTAGTGTGGTTATTTGGAGGTAAGAAGACACAGCTTTTTGAGTTGCCAGAATTCTTACATTGTTTGTGTGTGTGTGTGTGTGTGTGTGTGTGTGTTTCTCATCTGTGTGGGCTAATGATCCTTCAGCCTTTGAAGTTGCTGTTCTTTGGATGGGTTTTATTTCATGCTTTTATCCTGTTGGATGCCCTTGGGGGTTCGATTGTTGTACAAGGTGGTTTCAGTCAACTGGCTTTGATTCTAATCTACTCCTGAATCTAGGAGGAGCCCTTCTGATTACTGATGCTGTGCCTATGTTCATTTTGCTGGATGTTCTGGTCCACAGGTCTTCCTTATGCAGGGGCTACAGTTGACAGACAGGGCATATCCTTGCCAGCTCAGTCCTATTCTGCTATTCAAGTGTTTCCTGGGAGAACACACTGTTGCGCGTGCCAACAGAGTTCTGACAGAAGCAAGACCACTGAGCTGGAAGCTCTAGCAGATGTGGCCTATCTGGCTACAAGAGGTGCAGATGGGTTGAGTTTCCCACCCTGCCATTTGCGTGTTTCCAGAGCAAGAAGAAGCTACATCCCTCAGTAAATTCAGGCAGAAGTAGGACCATTGGACTAAAAGCTCTAGCAGACATGTCTCGCCTGGCTATGAGTGGCGGGGGTGAATGCAGTTACCCGTCTGAGTATTTTCCAGGACAACAGGAGGTTGTGCCCTCCAGCTGAGTTCATGCAGAAGAGGGATTGCTGGGCTGGAAGCCCTAGCAAGTGAAACCACCTGGCTACCAGTGGCAGGGTAGATTGGGTCACCTTCCCTGCTATCCATGTGTTTCCTGGAACAACAGGAGCCTGCATGCCCCTCTCCAGGTGAATCCACATAAAAGTAGGACCACTGGGTTGGAAGCTCCAGCAGGTGTTGCCCGTCTGGGTTCCAGTGACAGGGGTGAGTGGGGTCACCTGCCCTGCCATCCAAGAGCTTTCTAGGAAAAAACAGAGGCTGCAGCTACTAGCTGAGTTCAGACAGAATTGGGAACACTGGACCAAAAGCTAGTGCTAAGCCTTGTCCGGCAAGAGGGATGGAACAATCTTACTCCTCCCAGGTACTGCACTGCACTGCACTGCAACTGTGGCCTCTGTTGTAACTACAGTGCCAGTACTAGTTTCTCTGGGGCCTAGGCTTGCAGAGGCCCCCTTGGACTCAAAAGTTTCCTTCACGAAACATCTGGGAGGTTCTCTGCCTCAGTCTAGAATGCTGCCTCAGCATAGTGAGGGGGCACAGGGGTGCCAGGGGGATTCTCACATTCCCTCAAGTCCCTGTGGAGAGTGTGAATCCCCCACTGGGTTCTCACTCATTCCTCCCTTCTCAGAGAATATTGGAGAGATTCTCCTGGCTCCATGCTGAGCCCAGAGAGGCTGATGTCCAACTTTGCTCCTTTCTGCTCTTTGAGTCTCCTTCTACCTTGATGGGTCCTGACATGGTTTCTCAGGGGACTGGCCTGCAGGGTCAGCGTTCACTAGCCCTTTTGTTTCCTGTCCATGGGAGTGGTGCACATGAGCAGCTTCTAGGCTGCCATCTTGACCCAGAAGATAGCCTTGATATGATAAATCTGTTTCTAAAATTCATGTGGATTTGCAAGGAACCCCAAATAGGAAAAACAAACAAAGAAGCAAAAGAACGATGTTAGATGACTCATAGTTCCCAATTTCAAAATCTGCAAAGCTACAGTAATCTATGTGGTACTGTCATAAGGATTGGCATACAAATTAATGTTTCCAGAAATAATCCCAAATATCTAAGATCAATGGATTTTCAACAAGGATGTCAAGACCATACAATGAAGAAAAGAGTGTTTTTTGAGAAAGATTCTGGGAAAACTGTACATCCATATGTGAAATAAGTAGGATCCCATATCACAGCATAAAAATTAACTATGTAAAAAAGGATCAAATACCTAAAAATGAGGGGTATGACTATAAAGCTATTAGAAAAAAAATGTAAATATTAAAAAGATAACTTTTACATGTATTTTATCATAAAAATTTAATAAAGAAGTAGCATTCAGAAGACTGAATAGTTCAGTGGAAGAACTTGTTTGAAAATTGGACATCCAAACAAACATTTTTTCCTATATTTCTTCCTACCCTACTGTGTCACTCCCCTTTCATGCATGCATAGGTTGGGATGCTTTCAATCTTGGCATATCTGTTTTAGAGATCTGAGCTTCTTTTTTGTTATTTTCTTTCAAATGCCTGACTTGGACATAGAGTGATATAGACAATTATTCTACATTCAACCATTGGAATTGACCACCTGAGTTTTTTTCGCTGATCTAACAGCTCAAAGTTTGTCTCTGACAATAAGATCATGGAGTTATTTCATGAAAATATTCTATCTTTGGGTAGAGAACAATAGAGAAAAATGTAAATTTGTAGAGCTAAAGTTGCAGATATAGACAGAGTGAAAATGTGGAAATAGGACAATAAACAAAGTTCAAGAAATGCCATACAATGGCATTTGCATTTGGGAGATTTACTGATGCCACTATGGAAAAATGAAGAAAACTTAAGAGGCAATTACAATATCATATGAGAGGTGAGTGTGTGAATGAAGCCTGAGGCCAAGGGATTTTTTTGTTTGTTTGTTTTTGTTTTTTTGAGACGGAGTCTCACTCTGTGGCCCAGGCTAGAGTGCAGTGGCACAATGTCGGCTCACTGCAACCTCCACCTCCTGGGTTCAAGTGATTCTCCTACCTCAGCCTCCGGAGTTGCTGGGATTACAGGCGCATGCCACCACGCCCAGCTAATTTTTGTATTTTTAGTAGAGTTGGGGTTTCACCATGTTGGCCAGGATGGGCTCGATCTCTTGACCTTGTGATCCACCAGCCTCAGCCTCCCAAAGTGCTGGGATTACAGGCATGAGCCACCGCGCCCAGCCGGCTAAGGGTTTCTTAAGAATGGAATCTACATTGTATCGTGATATAATTGGAGGACTTTTAAAGTCCTTTCTAGTCCTGAAACTCAATATTACATGAGGAATACCAGAAAATACATTCATGATGTATATATTTCTTAAATAATCTTATTTTAAGGAGAAAAATAAGGATAATTAGAGGATAATTTTTAAAATAAATCAGAAATAGCTACCTATTGATGGAATAAATGATTTTTATGTTAATCAATAATTTTTAAATCACTTTCTGATGTTAAATGGTTTGAGATGTTAGAAAACTATCTAAAGACATTAGAAAGTGAAGTTTTGACTATGGACTTGATATAGATGTTAGCCAACATTTCTGTAGATAAAGGCAGAGAAAAACCCATGTTTACATAATTATAACATATCATGTATATTCCTCAAGTGTATAATTTAGAAAAACAAAATATCTTTTTCAGTTTTCCAAAAAATAATCTTTTGAAAACCTAATGGTGAAAATCGGGATTATTGTGGTTAGAGGAGGAAAAGTTAGGATGCAAGCCAATTTTTGAGATCTGCAAATAAACATGAGAACAGTGAAAAAGCAGTTAACGCTATTTAAAGGATGAAAAGAATAGGCAGGATCTGTATAAATATATCAGGAATAAAACACGTAGAAAGCAAGTAGGCATGAAATTAATAATTATTTTTAAATGCTAAGGTATTGAATTCATTTTGAAACCTGGCTTTAATAATAGAAGTAGGCAAGAGCATTTTGCACAATTAGGTAGTAATGGAGAATTTGTAAAGTACCTATTAATAAAATGTAGCAAAGTGAATATTTTTCAAAATGAGCATTAAAAACCATTAGGTTTAGATAAAATTATTCTAACATGATGGGAAAATTATCTCACTAATTTGACAAAAAGAATTTATTTTGAAATAGCAAAGTAAGGTAGAACAAGTAATACAATTAGGAAAAGTACAGGCAGTTCAGTTTTTTCATCAAATGTAGTCAGCTATTCTGCAAATTATTGCTATTTACATTACTAGAAAAACAATTTTAAAGTAAACTAAAATATTAAAAATGGCAAAAGATATTGGCCACTATACAGTGAGTAGATTTATGAGCTAGAGTTGGAAGAGATCAGTTGTCCTGTAGTAGTGACTAGGTCTTCTTATTCCTGCCAAGCCCTTTTTCTTCTTATTATTATTTTTTTAGTATTTATTGACTTAATCATATTATTCTAGTTTAAATTATTAATTTAATATATTGTGATACTTGAATATTTTTAAAAAATAGTCTTAACTTTTTGGACAGTTTTGGACTTACAGAAAAATTAAGAAATTAGTACAAAGAGCACCTATATGCCTTGTACTCAATACCTCCTATAACCAACATCTTACACGAGTATGGTATATTTGCAATAATTACTCAACTAATATTGATTTGTTACTATTAGCTAATGTCAATATTTTATCCAGATCTCCTTAGTTTTTGCCTAATTTTATTTTCTGTTCAAGGATCTCATCCAGGACACCACATTACACTTAGTTGTCATGTGTCCTTAGGCTCCGCTTGACTGTGACAGTTTCTAAGACTTTTCTTGTTTCTGATGACCTTGACCGTTTTGATGATACTGGTGAGATTTATTGCTGTTGATGCTGACCTTGATCACCTGGCTGAGGTAGTGTCCATCATGTTTCTCCACAGAAAAGTCCCTCTTTCTTTTCCTTTTCTTACTGTACTCTTTGGAAGGAAGTCCTGTGTCAGAGGTGTTCAAACTGGAGTGACTCCATTTTGAGTGAAGGCTAGGAAAATGAGGCTGAGACTTGCTGGGTTGCATTCCCAGAAAGTGAGGAATTCCTAGCCCCTAGATGTTTATGGTTAAGGGAACAGATTAATAATGTTTACTAAACAGATGCAGACTTGGGAGTGTCCAGATATCCTGATATCTGGAGAACAAGGGCATTCCTAATTTTGCTTTAAACATAATATCGATTCTTGAAAAATATAGTAATTAAGAAAATTAATCCTTTATCACAAACCCCTGTAGCACAGCACATCTCCCCAAGATCTTTTTTTATCATATATATACATATGTGTGTATGTGTGTATATATATACATATGAATTTATCAGGGTATTGGATAAAACCTCCCTTCTCAATAGAAAGTGCCTTTGTGTGCCTTAGAGATGTCTGTAAGATGGGATGGGATGCAGTCACAACAAAGACCTCAGCAGACCCCATGGGGAGTTCTGGCACCCAGGAATCATCCCAATTGAGTCAAGAAGTTCAGTCCTTTCTACCCACACAACTATTCATCTTTGGCTGCAGGCTGCCTTCCCCCATCCTAAGCGGGGCAACCTTTGGCAAGGATACTCTCTTTAGCCTAGGGAAACTCGTGGAGAGATAATTACTGATGAGCCATTAGCAGCCAACACTAATGGGTTTTAAAAACCAAACCCTTTTGGGTTTTTAAATATTAACCCAAGCCAAAAACAGGTAGTATGCATAGTTCCCAATAAATGGCTTTCCTATTGCGAGGTGTTTATTTTTGTAAAACAAAACAAAAAAAAGGACCCTTTGTCTCCACAGCACTCTCAATTATTGTTCTTAAAGTCCTCTGACAATGTTTAACATGGTCTCCTTTGTTTATATGCCATTTGAACATCCTCTTGGGTAAAATGTTGATGTCTTTTGCCCAGTTTTTAAATGGAATGCTTATTTCCTTACTATTGAGCTTTTGTAAAATATATTCTAGAAACTAGTCCTTTATCAGATATATGGTTTACAGATATTTTTTCTCACCTATTTTTTTCATCCCCATAACAGGGTCCTTCACAGAAAAAAAATTAATTTTACATAGTCCAATTTGCCAATTTTTCTTTTATGGGTCATGTTTTTGGTGTCATGTGTAGGAAATTTTTGCCTAGCCCTAGGTCCTAAAGATTTTCTTCTGTTTATTTCTAATAGATTTATAGCTTTATGTTTTGCATTTAAGTTTAGTGTCCATCCTTAATTCTGAAAAAATTTTCACCATTACTATTTTACAAATTTCTCCTCTGTTATCTCTTTCTTGTACTTCTGATAAGCCAACTAGGCATACTTTACACCTTTTGAAATTCCACAGTTGTTGGATGCTTGGCTTTTCTAATATTTTTTCCAATTCAGTTTTAAGAAGTTTTGTTGTCAGTCAACCTCGCCAATTTTTTTTGGCCATGTCAAGTCTATTAATAACCCCATCAAAGGCTTTTTTTTTATGTTACACTGTTTTTGATTTCTATCAGTTCTTTTAAAATCTTTCTTCAAATTCCACATTTCTGCTTATATTACTTATGTGCTCTTGCAGGCTATCTACTTTATCCATTAGAACTCTTAACATGTTAATTGTAGTTATTTGAAATTACCTCTCTGATAATTCCAATATCTGTGTTATATTTGAATATGGTTTTGATGATTGCTTTGTCTCTCTAGAATGTGATTTGTCTTGCCTCTTCATACGTCTTGTTTTTTTTTGTTGTTGTTGCTGAAATTCAAACATATCGGGTATTAGGAATGGAAGTACATTGTATAGTGTAAAGATTTTTGTTGATCTGGCTATTTTAGGCTGTGTTTAGTGTGTGTTGTAGATGCAGGTGTCAGAGATTCAAAGTCTTCTAGTTTCCCCTTTTTTGTTTTTTGTCTTCTTGTGGTTTGGGGTTTTATAAGTACACACCATCAAAAAAAGAAGCATTTATCTTTCAACTTTTTCTGATATAATCCATTGTTATTACACAGGGGCCCTTTTGGTGTGGTAGTAAGGTGTAGGATGTGGGGGATATTCTGCAATATTTCTACTAAATGTCAGTCTTCTGTGGGTGTGTGTCTCAGGACTGTGGCATTGACTCATATCTCAGGACTGTGACATTCACTCATATTTCTCTAGTGATATCTTTCTTTCCCATCCCCCTACTGTCTCCCCTGGTATTTCAAATACGTTTCCTTGAATCCTTGGCCCCTGTGGACTATGATATATTTCTCCCTTAGATGAGACAGGAAACCCAGAAGGAGTTGTAAAATTCCTCCAGATGGAATAGGCTTTGAAATAAAGCCATTTTAATGAAGAAGGGGCAGAATATACTTCACAATTATTATGCTTCCCTCTCTCTGTCAGACCTGCCAGAATATCTTTGTCAAATCTTTACCATGAGAGCCCTGGGGAGTTCCTGAAGGTAACGACCACAAAAGAAGAAGCCTCCTGGGACTGTAGCTCCCAGGACTTTCTCAGGCTGGTCCGCACACTTGGCCTCCAGTAACTTGCCAGAGTGATCATATATGTGTCCCTACTTATTTTTGGCTTCTTGGCTTCTGTTCTAGGTAAGAAGATCTCAGTTGTGTTACTCTGAGTGAGTTTCTCTCCATCTTTCAGGTCGGCCATTAGCCTTTTGACATCAGTTCTCTGAAGGGTCCAAGAAAAGTTACTGACTTTCAGTTTGTCAAGTGTTTCCTTGTTGTAAAGACGGGATTAATGGACTTCCACTCCCATTGTTTATTTTAAATGATGTATAAATTTTTATGTGATTAGCAATTTTAATTCCGAATATATAACACATATAAAGAAAAAATTACAATGATGACTTGGCAATCCATATATACAATATAATATTTTAAAATATCCTTTCTGTAAATTAAGGACAAAAGTTAACATTTCTAAGTATAAAACAAAACTTAAAAAACAAGTAATAGGATTTTCCTGAGAAACATGAATAGAATCTTAAGTTTGACTTTTAAAAATCCATTATTTTGAATCACATATAAAGCAGTTTTAAAAACTGAAAACAAACTGGATTTATAGTTAGGAGATTACCTTCAGCAGTGATTATTTCTTTCACTGAAGTGTGAGGCAACAAGAGTTCAGAGTCAGCGTGGCCATTCAACAATGCAGTAGGGAACAACATTTCCTGTGTTTTGGGCAGTACCGTTCAATCTGTGAGGTGGAGTCAGGAAACATAGCTACTATTAGAGAAATAATATGCTCACTACATAATTACACAAATATTTTCAAAGTTTATTCATGTTAGCATATAGCATTCATCACTACTTTATTCTTCTTTATTATAAATAATTCTATATTACATTCTTATGTTACCCATTCATCAGTGTATAGACATTTGGGTTGTTTCTACTTTTTAACTGTTACGAATAATGCTTCTGTGAATATTAGGTACAAGTTTTTGTGTACACATACTTTCATTTCTCTTGCATGTATGCTTAGGAGTGGAATTGCTGGGTCATATGGTAACTCTATGTTTAATTATTTTAAGGACTGCCAAGCTATTTTCCAAAGTGGCTGCCCCAGTGTATTTCAACCAACAATTAATGAGAGTTCCAACGTATTCACATTCTCATCAATATTTGCTATTATCTCTTTTTTTTTTTAACTGCAGCCTTCCTAATGAATGTGAAGTGGTAGCTCCTGTTTTTGATTTTTCATTTCCTAACAACTAACAATGTTGAGCACCTTTTATGCATTTACTGACCATTTGTCTATCTTCTTTGGATATTTAGATCCTTTCCTCATTTTTAATAGGATATTTGTCTTATATTATCTAGTTGTTTGTTTTCTAAATACTAGTCCTTTATCAGATATACGATTTGCAAATATTTTCTCCAATTCTGTGTGTTGTCTTTTCACTCCCTTGCTGGTATCCTTTGAAGCACAAAAGTTTTTAATTTTGATGCAATCCAGTTTATCTAATTTTTCTTTTGTTGCTTATGATTTTGATGTAATATCTAAAGAACCATTGAAAATTGGTCATGAAAATTTACTCCTATCTTTTATTCTAAGAGCTTTATAGGTTTAGCTCTTACATTTATATCTCTGATTTATTTTGAGTTAATTCTTGGATATGGCATTTAAAAAGGGGTACATTTTCATTCTTGTGATTATCCACTTGTCCCAGAGTTATTTGCTGAAAAGACTCTTCTTTCTGCATTTAGTCACCTTGGCACCTTTGCCAAAAGACCAATTAACTACAAATATACAGGTTTATTTCTGGGTAAATATCATTCCATTGCATTGATTTTATGTCAGTTATATTTCATTGATCTCTATGTCTATCCTTATACCACATCCCATTACTTTATATCTTTGGGATAGTCTGTGATCTATTTTTAGAAAACCCACTCAACTGGCCTATTAAAGCACACTGGTTTAGTTGTTCTACATATATATTTTAATATCTGAAAGTGTAGTAATCTCTACCTTTATTTTTCCTCAAAAATTTTAGCCTGTTTCTCTTTCATATGAACTATAAATCATTTTGTCAAATTATAACTTTTCAATCATTGATTTCTGGAAACGTATTCCTACACATAAATAAATCGGAAAAGAACTGTATTGTTCATAGTTATTATGCCATTTGGGCACATGATGCACACAGGTTCATTGTAGCATTGCCTTAAGTTGCTTTGCTTATTCTTCAAATTTATTTACCACTCTTTAAAAGAGAATATGTTCATGTATCACTAAAATTCTTTAGCATAGATTTGCTATTTATATATTAGCAAATATCCAACAAGTTATTTAATTTTCTGTCCTGTTTTACTTATCCCATAATGAATTTTATACTTTTCCGTCCCCCTTCCTATCTTTAATTTATGTCTTTCATCCTTACACAATTTCAATTTGGTCTCTAGAGAAACACACACACACACACACACACACACACTCCCTTCCAATGTAACTGCTGTAAAAGAATTTGAATTCCCCCGCCCTGTCAAGTCAATAGAGGACCTGTCCTCTTTCTGTTTCACATGGAAAGTTACCTGTTAAACATATCTTTGGTACAAGACCATTCACCCCCTGGGGATCAGCAGCACTTGATACAGGGGATCCTTTAGTTACAAGGAGAGGGAGAAGAATCATTAACAAAGACAAAACGTTTTCTTTAAACTAGTGGTTAATTTATCTAAAAGAAATCCTTGCACACCTTGACTACAAAACCTTCCAGGTCACTTCTCTCCTCTTCTAGAGCCCTAATTCTCATAAACCCCTATACACACTATTTTATTTTCTGTCCCTCACCCCTAACTGATTCCTGAACCCTAATACTGCACATTTCTGATACTCTATTTTCATCATCAGTAAAATCTTCCATAGCCTTCACCTTCTCTTTGCATATTTTCTTTTCTTCTTCTCTTACTAAATCTGACTCTCGTCTGTATATAGAGATTCCCTTGCAGCCCTTTCTTTCAAGAGTATCTTTAGCAATTGCTCTTTTCTCTTTCAGTATCCTCTTATCTCTTGTCCTGGAACTGAGGTTTTCATTTCCACACATCCAGACCACTCTCTCCCTTCTTATTCACCATTCTCAACATTCCTGATTTAAATCTCATGTGATCCAACAGTACCATCTTCATTTTAAATTTTGGACTCTGACTTACTGTCACTCTCTGACATCACTCCTATTTTCATTCTTAGTGATTTTCAATTTTCATTTTGGGGTGATATGCATGTATATCTAATGGTGTTCTTTACTGGGAATGAGTTGCCCCCCTCCCCCGCCGCCCCAGAGACATTTGGCCATGTTTAGAGATATTTTAAGCTGTCACAACTGGGGCATGGGGTGTGATGCTATTAACATCTAGTGAACAGAGGTCAGGGACTCTGCTAAACATTCTGCAAAGCACAGGACAAAATCCCACAACAAACGATTATCCAGCCCAAAATGTGAATAGTGTTCACATTGAGAAATCCTGATATAGACAATCCTTTCTACAACCTGGCCTCTCCTGCAATCATGACTCTATGCATCTGGCCTCACGAGTCACTCCCATGGTCATATCTTCTTAGACTTTGTCATTACCAATAAAGGCGACACTTTCATAAACGAATCAACTCTTCTTGCTGATTTACCACCCTTTCACTGCCTTCTTTTTTCTTACATCCTCTCTTTCCTTTTTTAGCTTTTATTGCCTGGTGACTCCCTCTCATGCAAACATCCTCAAATCTTCTGACTCTCTTTGTCATACCCCCGTAACAAATATCCACATTTCACCTGCACTATGTCTGTTGTCTTGCAACTGAATAGTTCTAGACTAAAACATTTAACCATGCTGAATGGACTCTAAATTTATGATGTGGACCTTTCATGGCACTGGATAATCAGATCTCAGCTCCCCAATTGATTCAATCCCCACACTCAACTACTTTGCATGTTTTCCTTTCTCCTCAACCTTATATCACTTCCTTTGACATAGTCTCTCATCTCTAAAGAACATGGCTTTGGTTTCCCTGAAGGAAAATTTGAACAATTAGAAGATAATTTCCATTAGTACCTAAGACCACATCTACCAGTCAGAATATATACCAATATATTTATAATTGCTTCTTGTCACTCATGTCTATCTTTTCTCCAAGAATTCTTGTTCAGCCATTTTTTTGATAGGCTTGTCTACAAAATCAGTCTTCCCATTCTATTGCATCATTGATCTTCTTTGGTCATTGACATAAGCTGTCACATGCTGTATTAACTACAATGTCTTTAAAATGCACTCTCCTGCCTACTGAATAAGAAATTTCTTTCTTAAACATAAAATAAATTAAAATGTGATAGCATATTTTGAGCAATAATTGTAGAAAGAAAACTTTGAAGGTGTCATTTAAAGGGATGGTAAAATTCCTACAAAAGTGAAGAAAAGCAAAACTAGAGTGACACTATCTAAGGCTATTGCTGTGATCCTATTTGTAGCTCTAGTTCAATGTTGCCTAGGAAATACATATTACAATAATAATAGTAAACAGATTGTATTTTTATTATGGGTGTAAGTTTAATGAAGAAAGCATTGCTTCCCAGGTAACAAGAAATTTATCCTCTCTACTAATATTTCCTCAAAAGTTCACCACCTAATTTCATCTTTTTTGTTCTTTAAATACATTGCTTTGCTTTTCTTCTGTTGTCTAAAGATTTCCAACGAAACAATAAGTTGTGACTGAAAGCCTTCTTAGAACTTAGTTTAACAGAAAGCACAGAGAAATGCAAAACCACTAGGCCGGCATTCAGATATCTACCACTTTTGATACGAGTGAATGAAAGAGGATTTTCTCAGTCTAATTCCTACATGGAAAAAAGCTTCAACTGATTAGATTTTTCAAATAACTTTCAAAATGTATTCTTTTGTGTATCATTAATGAGAATCCAGTATTAATTACCAATAGATATCTGGTAGTGCTCATGAAGAACACAACTTTCTCCTATGAGCAGCAATCAACATTCAGAGATTTTAAGGGATTGTTTTAAAAAATAGTGTAATCAATCCTATTAAAAGGTCAGAATTAATCTATCACATTTATAACTCCTTTATGCATATCTTAAAGAGAATTTTTTATCTTTTCAGCTGAATGGTCACTGACCATTAGAATTCCAAAAATATAGTACTTATTTAAATGTAACTTATTGCTAGACAGGATATCTAGCAAACTCCTCAGTGGGAAATTGAAAAGATAAAATACAAAATGTAGGAGAAGAAGAGAATATCTGGCATCAAAAATCACTCAGTAGGATACAAATAAGTAAAACATGGGGATGAAATGAATTGGAACTGAATCTATTTGCATTAGGGATTGAACATGAAGTGCTCAGTAGGAAAGTTTGAAACACTTCACTGAACAATAGCAAAATAAGTTGAATATTTTAGCAATGTTTTAGTATTCTCAAAATGAGCTTTTGTTGTAGCTCCCATTGCAGCCACTTTATTTCCAAAAGTAAGAGTTCCTCAGCATGTTTTTAGGAAAAGAACCCAAAAAACCCGCCAACCTATGTTTTGCCCTTAAATGTAGTCAAAAATTCCAGTGTAATGGAAAGTTCGCCCTGAGCAACCACTTTCTTTTCATGGTTTCCAAGATTTTCTGGTTAATGTTGTGGTGTTGCTGGTTTTGACCTGCCCTAATTTTCGTTTTCCTTGTGGTCACCAATCTATTCCTTTCCAGGTCCCTTCAAATGTGTAATTTGTTATGTGGAACAAGCTCATGTTCATTGTAGAAAATCTAACTTTGTCTTACACTTTACTGAACTTAATTAATTACATAATAAGAAAGCAGTGCTTTGTGCTATGTGTTTGTTTGTTTTGGCTAAAAGTCTTTACATACCCATCAATATTCAGTTATTAGAGCTGCACTGAGAAAAACCACAGACTGAGTGGCTTGAACAACCTCACCTCAACCCATTGAGAAAACCCAATGTATTTTCTCACAGTTCTGAAGATTAAGGTTTCCTCTGATGCCTCCCTTCTTGGCCTGTAGACAACCGCCTCCTCATTATGTCTTCTCATGGTTTTTGTCCACATCCATGTGTCCCTGGTATCTCTTCTTGTGTGTCCAAATCTCCTCTTCTTGGTAGAACACCAGTCAGATTTGACTAAGGCGGTCCACATGACTTTATTTAATCTTAATTACCTCTTTTAAGACCCTCTCTCCAAACATTGTGACAGTCTGAGGTTCTGGGGATTAGGAGTTCCAAATATGAATTTGAGGTGACAAAAGTCACTCCATAACACCATCCGTAAGGAATCAGTGAGGTGATATAAATTTTTAAGTAAAATAGTATAGAAATACAAAAATTACCCTGGGAGATAATTGACACCATTTTTTACATTATTCTATAAGGTACTGCATGAAATCCAACATAAGTGGATTCCAGGACTTTATGGTTATGACTACCCAATCAGAAATAAGTTATAAATTTTAACTTGAAGCATTTTTGTAGAGAAAGATTACCTCTTACAAGAGGTAAAGAAAGAGGTTATTTCCTATAACTCATAACAAAAATTATCAGGTAGGTGTGGTGACTCCTGCCTGTAATCCCAGCATTTTGGGAGGCCAAAGAAGGCCCACTGATAATATATTATCCATGGAGATAAAGAACACCATGAAACTAAAAAGAATGGAACTCTGCTTTTTTAATTAATAATCTGCACTGAATATTTTGTTGAGTGAATAAATGAGTGAATGAAAAAAGAACTTTAAAGGTGTACCATTGATAATGCTTTATTTAAAAATGCTAATGTATTGTAAAAATCTGTATAACAGAATGAAACAAAATATCTTATAAAGAATGATAATAATGAGGTTACAGTAAATTGTATATTTATTTCATAAGCAAAGAAGTACAAACATTAAACTGATTGTGGTATTTAAATTGCTTCTATTATTTAGCCTTCCTTACAAACCCATCTCCTGCCATGATCCCACTTTGCTGTTTTAAAAATTCAATATATTGCTGCAAGCAATTTGCATTCTCCACAGCCTGGGGTTAATCCCATCCAATTAGATGCCCACGTTGCCTTTTTATGTCTTTCAACTCCATTTAAGTGGAACTGCTAGTTTGAAGCATTTCCATGTTTTAGACCACAAGGTAGGACTAGCCTTTTGCCTCCACTGTATTTGGTGTGGATTTCTTTAGGTATAAGTATGAATGTATACCATGGAATCCATATAGAGAATATGTTTAAATCTAATGTACAGAATCACTTATGCAATTCTCATTCCATAGTCAGTCTCAATTAATCCTTTTATTTTTTATAAAGCATGGACTCTAACATCAAATTTAGAAAATTCTAAGAATTAGGTGAATTTGAAGGACATTACCAAAAATTGGATACAACTTGGTGCCAAAGTGGGCAGGGTAAGTTCAGAGACACTCTCAAAAATTAAGGCCCACTCAAACCCTATTTCTGTTTAATACATTTTATATTGCACATAAGTCCATATAATGTTCTTAAAATAAATTTAAACCCAGGCCATACAGTAAACATTTTTAAAAGTTTTCATTTAACCTTCACTTTGATTCTTTTTTAATGATTGACGTGAAATAATTGTACATATCCATAGGGTACAATGTAATGTTTCAATACATGTATACATTATGTAATGATCATAAAGGAGTAGTTAGCAAATTCATCTCCTTAAACATTTATCATTTCTTTGTGATGAGAACATTCAAAAACCTTTCCTCCAGCTATTTTGAAATATGTTGTTAACTCTAGTCGCCTGCTATGCAATAGAACACCAGAATTTATTCTTCTTATCTAACTGTGGCTTTGTACCTATTAACCAGTCTCTCCCCAGTTGCCCCCACCACACTCCCCATCCTCTGGCACGATTATTCTACTCTCTATTTCTATGAGAATAACGTTCTAAATTCCACATGTGAGTGAGATTATGCAGCATTTGTTTTTCTGTGCCTGGATTGTTTCACTTAACATAATACCCCCCGTGTTCATTCATGTTGCTACAAATGACAGGATTTCATTCTTTTTATGGTTCAGTAGTATTCCATTGGGCATATATACCACATTTTCCTTAACCATTCATCCATTGATGAACATTTAGATTTATTTCATATTTGTCTATTGTGAATAACAGTGCAATGAATATGGGAATCCAGGTATTTTGTCAACAAACTTATTTCATTTCTTTTGTATATATATCCAGTAGTGAGATTCCTAGATCATTTGGTAGCTCTGTTTTAATTTTATGAGGAACTTCCATATAATTGGCTGTACTAATTTATGTTACCACCACCAGTGTGTAAGATATCCCTTTTCTCAGCACCTTCACCAACACTTGTTATCTTTTGATTTTTTGATAGCAGTCATTCTGACTTGAGTGAGATGATATGTCACTGTAGTTTTGATTTGTATTTCTCTGATGATTAGCAATGCTGAACATTTATTAATATACATTTGGCCATTTGTATGTCTTCTTTTGAGAAATGTCTATTCAGGTCTTCTTTTGTCCATTTTTAAATTGGATTATTTGTATCTTTATTGTTGAGTTTTTTGAGTGCTTATATATTTTGGATATAAATCTCTTATCAGATGTATAGTTTGCAAATATATTCTCTCATTTTGTAGGTTGGCTCTTTGCTGTTAAGAAGTTTTTAGTTTGATGTAAGCCCATTTATCTATATTGGTTTTTGTTGCCTGTGCTCTTGAGGTTTTATCTGAAAACCTCTCATCTAGACTAATGACAAAAAGCTTTTTCCCTTTGTTACCTATGTTTTCTGAAGTAGTTCACAGTTTTAAATCTTAAATTTAAGTATTTAACCAATGTTTAGTTAATTTTTGTATATGATGAGTGATTAAGACTCTAGTTTCATTCTTTTGCATGTGGACATCCAGTTTCTTCAGCACCATTTAATGACAAAGCTGTTATTTCCCCCATTGTGTGTATGCGGACTTTTGTTACGTATCTGTTGGCTGTAGATGTATGAGCTTATTTCTGGGCTTTCTATTCCATCCTATGCATCTATGTATCTACTTGTATGGCAGTATGGCAGTGACATTGAATCTGTAGATCACTTGGGTAGTATGAACATTTGAACAATATTAATTCTTCTAATCTATGAACATGAGTACCTTCCACTCTTTTGAGTCATCTTCAATTTCTTTCATCAATGTTTCCTAGTGATCATTGTAGAAATCTTTCACCATCTGGGTTAAATTTATATCTAAGTATTTTATTGTAGCTATTGTAAAAGGGATTGCTTTCTTGATTTCTTTTTCAGGAAACTCACTCTTAGTGGATGGAAACTACTCATTTTTGTTGTTTATTTTGTATCCTGCAACTTTACTCAATTTTTTCTTTTTCTAGATCTTAGAGAGAAAGGTTTCAGCTATTCTCAATTCAGTATGATGTAAGCTGTGGTTCTGTCATGTATAGCCTTAGTATATTGAGGTACATTCCTTCTATACCTACTCTGTTGAAAGTTTTTATGAAGACATATTAAATTTTATCAAATACTTTTTCTGCGTCTATTGAGTGATCAATATTTTTCAGAAAAGGAGATTTGGGGATTATTTGTTACTGCAGTATATCCAGACATTTCTGAGTCAATACAGAAACGTAGCCATTTATTTTTAAAATTTCACAATATGAATTGACAACAATATATCTATTCATTTTCCAATTGGCAACTGTTTGATTATTCTTTATGTAATATAATACCTTATACATACCTCCTCAAGAATGATGGCTTTGTGTAGAATAATATACCTAAGTAAGATTTCTAGGTTAAATGCAATGGTTAAAGTGTTCATGTTGTTGATATAAATATTCAATAGGAATTTGAAAAGATGATGCACAGGATAGAGAAGCATGAGAAATAATAATCATCACAAAACCAATATATTAATATATCTGAATAATTATTGTATTAGTCCATTCTCACATTGATATAAAGAATTACCTGAGACTATTTATAAAGAAAAGAGGTTTAATTGACGCACATTTCCACAGGCTATGCAGTAGGCATGGCTGGAGATGCTTCAGGGGGAAGGCAAGGGGAAACAAGAACATCTTACACGGCCAGCAGGAGAGAGAGAGAAAAAGCGGGGGAGGTGCTACACACCATTAAACAACCAGATCTTGTGAGAACTCTATTAGGAGACAGCACTGGGGGGATGGTGCTAATCCGTTAGAAACAACTCCCATGATTCAATCACCTCCCACCAGGCCCCACCTCCAAAACTCAGGATCACAATTCAATGTGAGATTTAGTTGGGGACACAGAGCCAAACCATATTAATTATTATAGCATATTTGTTGTTCTAAGCAGTTTACCCGTGTAAAAATTTAATCTTATGGGGTAGGTGCCAATGCATTTTCCATTTTACAGGTGACTTAATTAAAGATCAAATAAATTAATTTGCCCAAGGTCACATGGCTTGTAAGTGGTAGAATGAGTAGTTGGAGGCAACTTGGAATCTAAGTTGATATCTATTCTTTTATGGATTCACAGAGCCAGCCACGTGCACACACACACACACACAAATCAAGGTAAACATTCTTCAACACTAATAAAATTTATTTAAGATCTTCTAAGTAACAACCACTTCTCTTTCCCTCTCTACTCCCCTTAAAATCTCCTTTCTCATTCTGACGTAGAAAAGGAAAAAAAAAAATCCCGAGGTGTCTAGGTTGTGGGTTTATCTCCAGTGATTTACATAAAATCAAAAGTATCAACTATAAAGAAAATGTATGGAATATATGTACATAAATCTGATGGTTCTCAGATTTATGAGCATTCCTATTCAGAAAATACTCATGGTTACCACCTGTTGACATCACGTTTTATTGTTCTATAGGTAGTATTAAACACTTTAGTTGTTCACAAATGTTTCTCTTCATTTTATATTTGTTTTGACTGAAACAAATTAACATTTTTATAACTTTCTCACTCTACCTGTGAACTTCGCTGAAGCCATGGTACACAACTTTATAAAACTAAAACTGTACCTGCTTTTTGAATTATTTTACCATAATCTGTCATGTTTTAAGTTTTCACTTTTTCTTCTCATGGTCCTATAGCTGTTAACTGGAATGCTATTTTCTTTTATAAGTTTAATGAATTCAGAGGTTAACTGCCTACATGTCACTGACTAAGTAGAGTTACTTAATTGCTTTACTATTACAAAATTTGGCATTTGGTATGTAACTCCAGTTTGCAAATATATACATAAATAAATTAATAACCAGTTAGCTAAACAAACTGTGTCCAGAGTTGGTTCCTGCTGGTGGCTTGGTGGTCTCGCAGACTTCAAGAATGGAGCAGACCTTCCCTGGTGAGTGTTACAGCTCTTAAAGATGGCATGGACCCAAAAAGTGAGCAGTAGCAGGATTTATTGTAAAGAGCAAAAGAACAAAGCTTCCACGGCCTGGAAGGGGAACCCAGTGGATTGCCACTGCTGGCTGGGGAGGCCAGCTTTTATTTCCTTATTTGTCCCCACCCCTTGTTCTGTTTTTGTCCTATCAGAGTGCCCTTTTTTCAATCCTCCCTGTGATTGGCTACTTTTAGGATCCTGCTGATTGGTGCGTTTTACAGAGTGCTGATTTGTGCATTTTACAGAGTGCTGATTGGTGCGTTTTACAGAGCACTGACTGGTGCATTTTACAATCCTCATGCTAGCTACAAAGCTCTGATTGGTGTGTTTTTACAGAGCACTGATTGGTGCATTTTACAATCTTCTTCCTAGCTACAGAGCACTGACTGGTGCATTTTACAATCCTCTTGTAAGACAGAAAAGTTCTCCAAGTCCGCACTCGACCTAGGAAGTCCAGCTGACTTTACCTCTCAAAGTTGCCCTTTTTAATGGAATAAAACCACTATTTGCTTTATTAAAAAATATGAACTGTTAATTAAGAAGCTGTTATGAAGAAGTGGCTATAATGGATCATCTTATGCTATAATGGAAGAAGACAAACTGAGAAGAAAGAAGACAGGGACAAACTTAAAGAAAAACCAGTCATGTGCCAGGCTCTTAACTAGTGCTTTAACTGTCTCCTTATTGTCCCTAATAACCATATAAAGCAGGTATTAATGACCAATTTACAAATTAAAGCAGACAAGAAAAACTGAGGCTCTGGTAGGCTAACTATAGTACCAAAAAACTCATGACATAAATGTAATAAATTATCACACTGAAGCTCATGCTGTTTTATTATCCCAAGTGGCACCAGCTGGTACAGTCCAAGGCAAGCTGTAATTTTCAAGAAAAAGGGGAAAATGGGGAGGAAAAAGGTGAAGAGGCAAGAGATCTGTCTACATATTTGTGGTGTCTGTAGCATTAAGATTTTCTAAAACTCTCATAAGCAGAATGTATGAACAAGCTGATTTTCTATTTTACTTATGAAGATAAAAGTAGGAAAATATTCTGCTAAAATTATTCACTGAATCATTGCTGTAGAGGAGAAAAATGACTCCCTAAAATCAACACTATTTTCAATGTATATTTAGAAAGAAACCTTAGATGATAAGTTTTAGAGGCCAGAAATTGAATTGCTGGATTTGGTGTTTTGAAAAGTAGAACATCATAATTCATTTAAATAAGCATTTAATGAAAGAATTCAATGAATTTTATTTCCTACTTCAAGTCTTTAGGTTTTTTCCTGGTATTTTATTTTACATATAATTATTTTGATGCAGAATTAAATGAATATATTTACATCTGTAAAATTGAAAGAGGTATTTAGGTAAAAATAATCCATGATAAATTGCTAAAAAGTTGAGAAAACCATAATCTCATCTAAATTAAAATTAAACACCCTTCACTCCCTGCCCCCCCGCAACACACAAACATACACAGAAACATACACAACAAGGAAGGCTGCAAAGGAACATTGATATCTATGAGTTCTCCAGAAGGAGATTAAAGGCATGGATTTAGGACACAAGTGGCCTGGGTTCACATAACATCTCCACTTACGTAAATGATTTGGGACAAGTCGAATGAACATCTTTAATAAACATATTCAAGGCTGGGGCATTGGCTCACACCTGTAATCCCATCCCCTTGGGAGGCAGGAGCCCATTCTGTGACTGAGAGGTTGTCATTTCAAGTTCATGGGAAAATATCTAAACTGTCCATTTAAAGAAATCAGAGGGAAAACAAGGAGTCCAGCTTGCCTGGCAGGAGAGATGCCTTTAATTTTTTATCTCTAGCCACCGGCCGGAGACATTTGGGTGGGATATAATATTGGAAGCTGTGTCAGGGGTAACTGAACCCTGCTTCTGGCATGAGAATGTTAAACCTATATATTTAAATGATATTGAGGCAACATAAAATTATGAACAGACATTACAGGTACATCTTATTAAGCAAAACAAAACAAAAAATTTACTTACATGACTTGATGGATATATTAATTTCTTGACTGTAGTGATCATTCCACAATGTATATACACATCAAAAGATCAAGTTGTATACCTTAAATGTGTGGCTTATGTTCTTATAAAAAGAGGAAATTTTGACCAAAGGAGAAGACAGCCATCTACAAACCAAGAACAGATCCTACCATGACAGCCTTTAGCAAGGGACCAACCCTGCCAATCCCTTGATTTCAGACATCTAGTCTCCAGAACTATGAGACAATGAACTTCTGTCATTTAAGTTACCCAGTTGGTGGTATTCTTTACAGTTGCCCTAGAAAATTAATACAGACAAATTTGAAATCGTTGATTTACATGTATTTTTCTAAATCCAATATCTGGGTGATCTCATTAACAATTTCTATTGACTGCTGTTTTCCCCTGTGTATAAGACATACTTTCTTGTTTCTTTGCATGTATATAATTTTTATTAAACATTGGACATTTAAAATAATATAAGCCAGTGTGGTGGTTCACGCCTATAATCCCAGCACTTTGGGAGGCTGAGGGAGGATCACTTGAGGTAAGGAGTTCAAGATTAGCCTGGCTAACATGTTGAAACCCCGTCTACTAAAAATGCAAGAATTAGACTGGGCATGGTGGCTCATGCTTGTAATCCCAGCACTTTGAGAGGCCAAGGCAAAAGGATGACCTGAGGTCAGGAGTTGGAGACCAGCCTGGCCAACACAGCAAAACCCTGTCTCTACTAAAAATACAAACATTAACCGGGCTGGTGGCTCGTGACTGTAATCCCAGCTACTTGGGAGGCTGAAGTGGGAGAATCACTTGAGCTTCGGAGGCAGACATTGCACTGAGATGAGATTGCACCACTGCACTCCATCCTGGGCAACAAAATGAGACCCTGTCTCAAAAATAAATAAATACATAAATATTTAAAAAATAGAAAAATTAGCCAGGTGTGGTGGTGGGTACTATAATCCTAACTACTCAAGAGGCTGAGGCATGAGAATCACTTGAACCTGGGAGGTGTAGTTTGCAGTAAGCCGAGACGGTGCCACTGCACTTCAGCCTGGGCAATGGAGCAAGACTCCAACTCAGAAAAAATAATATACTATACTATACTATACTATACTATACTATACTATACTATACTATACTATAATATAATACTCTGAAAATTAGATTCCTTCTCCACCAAGGGTTTTTGCTGTTTTTGTTTGCTTGTTTAGTGACTTTTCTTGAACTAATTCTATAAGTTTGCATTCTTTGTTTTGTGTGGCTCCCGCAGTCTCTACCCAATTATCTTAGTACTGGGCTAATGATCGAACAGGGATTTCCTTAAATGCCTGGAACCAGTAAGTCTGCAAACTTTTACTACGAGTCTTTGCATCACATTTTGGTGCACACTCTCTACGCTCAGGCAGCAAGTTTACAGCTCTGCTTTCACCTTCATGTGCTGCTTGTGCAGAGCTTCAAGATCAGCCAGAGGTGAGAACTGAGGACATACATACTCAGGTCTTTCCTGGTATTCCACATCCCTGATGAGACGAACACTACTATACATAAATGTGACCTTCTAATTCCAGAAATATGCCAGAGCTTTTCAAAGACCCTATGGATATCTCATTTCCAGCTTTTCCTTTTTAGTTTTTTGGCCAACTTGTTATTCACTGCAACTGTTATTGCTACCTCACCAAGCAACAATGTTGAACAATTCATCACTGTTTGTTGTTATTGTTAGTTCCTTCATTTGTACACAGATGCTCCCGGGAAAAGACTGTTAGTGAGAGGTGACAGCGTGCTGGCAGTCCTCAGAGCCCTCGCCTGCTTTCGGCACCTCCCCTGCCTGGGCTCCCACTTTGGTGGCATTTGAAGAGCCCTTCAGTCCCCCACTGCACTGTGGGAGCCCCTTTCTGGGCTGGTCAAGGCCGGAGCCCACTCCCTCAGCTTGCAGGGAGGTGTGGAGGGAGAGGCACGAGCGGGAACCAGGGCTGTGTGCGGCGCTTGCGGGCCAGCTGGAGTTCTGGGTGGGTGTGGGCTTCGTGGGCCCCGCACTCGGAGCAGCCAGCCAGCCCTGCTGGCCCCGGGTAATGGGGGACTTAGCACCCGGGCCAGTGGCTGCGGAGGGTGTACTGAGTCCCCCAGCAGTGCTGGCCCACCGGCGCTGTGCTGGATTTGTCGCCGGGCCTTAGCTGCCTTCCCACAGGGCAGGGCTGGGGACCTGCAGCCCGCCATGCCTGAGCCTCCCACCCACTCCATGGGCTCCTGTGCGGCCCGAGCCTCCCCGACGAGCACCACCCCCTGCTCCACGGCGCCCAGTCCCATCGACCACCCAAGGGCTGAGGAATGCGAGCGCACGGCGCGGGACTGGCAGGCAGCTCCACCTGCAGCCCTGGTGTAGGATCCACCAGGTGAAGCCAGCTGGGCTCCTGAGTCTGGTGGGGATGTGGAGAGTCTTTATGTCTAGCTCAAGGTTTGTAAATACACCAATCAGCACCCTGTGTTTAGCTCAAGGTTTGTGAGTGCACCAGTCGACACTCTGTATCTAGCTGCTCTGGTGAGGACGTGGAGAATCTTTATATCTAGCTCAGGGATTGTAAATACACCAGTCAGCACCCTGTGTTTAGCTCAAGGTTTGTGAGTGCACCAATCAACACTCTGTATCTAGCTGCTCTGGTGAGGATACCTGGAGAGTCTTTATATCTAGCTCAGGGATTGTAAATACACCAATCAGCACCCTGTGTTTAGCTCAAGGTTTGTGAGTGCACCAATCGACACTCTGTATCTGGCTGCCCTGGTGAGGACGTGGAGAACCCTTATGTCTAGCTCAAGGATTGTAAATACACCAATCGGCACTCGTATCTAGCTCAGGGTTTGTGAACACACCAATCAGCACCCTGTGTTTAGCTCAGGGTTTATGAATGCACCAATCGATGCTCTGTATCTAGCTGCTCTGGTGGGGCCTTGGAGAACCTGTGTGTCAAAACTCTGTATCTAACTAATCTGATGGGGACGTGGAGAACCTTTGTATCTAGCTCAGGGATTGTAAACGCACCAATCAGCGCCCTGACAAAACAGGCCACTGGGCTCTACCAATCAGCAGGATGTGGATGGGGCTAGATAAGAGAATAAAAGCAGGCTGCCCGAGCCAGCATTGGCAACCCGCTCGGGTCCCCTTCCACGCTGTGGAAGCTTTGTTCTTTTGCTCTTTGCAGTAAATATTGCTACTGCTCACTCTTTGGGTCCACGCTGCTTTTATGAGCTGTAACACTCACCACGAAGATCTGCGGCTTCACTCCTGAGCCCAGCGAGACCACGAGCCCACCAGAAGGAAGAAACTCTGAACACATCTGAACATCAGAAGGGACAGACTCCAGACACGCCACCTTAAGAGCTGTAACACTCACCACAAGGGTCCACTGCTTCATTCTTGAAGTCAGTGAGACCAAGAACCCACCAATTCTGGACACATTAGCACCGGGCAATATCTCAATGGAGTTTTCCAAGGAACTGATAGATCAAATACAATTTTCTGGAAATGTGGTTTTTGAGGTGTCCAAACCTCTTTAGCCTCCACCAGTGGCTAATAGATTTTCTTGTTTTTCATCATGCTGTTGGTTTTCAAGGCTATCACAGAGCTGCAAAAAGGGAGTGGAAATAAAATGTCAAACTGCCATATAATTTGCTGTTCTTACCTAGATTCAGCTATTTTTCTTGAATAAATCCTTTCTACATATTTTCTAGCTTTAATTTCCAGTTAATTTTAAACGTTCTGAGAAAGTTGATTTTTACAGTTTCTGTCAATGTTCTCATTGATTTGATGGGAGAAAAAATTTTCAAAATTCTTTACTCTGCCATTCTCAGTTATCTCATGACCATTTAAATTTTCATTTCGCCAGCAATAAATAATATTGAACATCATTTTATGGCTAATATGGCATTCATATAACTTACATAATAAAGTTTCTGTTCAGATATGTTGCTTTTTTATTGGATTGTATGCTATCTTATTGATGCTTAAGTGTTTTTTATTTATACTAGATATAAGTTCCTTATTGGATATGAGATTTAGAAATATAATCCATCAGGCCAAAATTTATCTTTTCATCCTCTACCAATGTATCACAGGATAAAAGCTTTGGTAAAATGAAGTTCATAAATTATTTTCCTTATGTTTTGGGCAAAGTATCAAAAATTCATTTCCAATGTGAAAGTGACACATTTTTCTCTTATGGTTTCTTCTACAAGTTTCATAAGTGTTATATTTCACATTTAAGTCTCATCCATTTTGAAATAATTTTCCATTTGGAAACAAAAAACAAAAAACCTCAAGCATTTCTCACACCATAAACAAAGTAAACTCAAAGTGATTCACGAACCTAAACTTAAAAGCTAAATTATACAACTTCTAGCCCGGAAGAACAACTTTATGACCTGTGGTTCAGCATCGTGTGTACCAAAAGAAAATGATAAGCTGAAATTCATCAACATTTTCCAGTCAACCATTAACATGAAAGAATAAGCCATAGACTTTGAGAAAATGTTTGCATCGTATAAAGTTGACAAAATGCTTGTATACAAAATATAAAGAACTCTTACAACTTGAGAAAAGAAAGGAACTTTTATCTGAAGAGTGTGAATTCTTTTAAAGTATCCCAGAGAAGCATTAAAATGAGACAGCAACCCTGTCCTACTTCCCCGCTTTTCAGCTATGCATTCATCTCTTGAAACTGCTTTTGCTATTGCCACAGTAGCTGTAAAGTACCCTACCAATGCGGCACCAGACACTATAACCCACACCCCTAGATTAACAATGTATAGCCAATCACTAATCAATGTTATTTCTGTAAACCAATGAGAATTCTCGATAAACAACTTTGTATCAACCCACTCCTTGTCCTCAATTTTGTCCTTTAGAAACCTCCTTGTAACAAAGGCTGAACACGGCTCTTATCTAAAGATACTTGGGTGTGAGACCCTGGAAAGCTGTCCTCACTTTAGCTCAAGTAAATGCTTTAAATTTACTTTGTCCTCACTTTGGCTCAAGTAAATGCTTTAAATTATATTTTGTGCCTCAGCCTCTTCCTTTTAGGTCGACAGACTCAATGGTAAGAAAGCACACTAGCTAATTTTTTAAAATTCACAAAATATTTTATTGCACAGCAAAATAAACAAATGGCAAATAAACATATAAAAAGATACTTAACATCTTTAATTGCCAGGGAAATATAAATTAAAACCACAACCAAGTACTAGTACATATCCTCTACAACAGGAAAAATTTAAAAGGCTGATACTCTCAAACATTGGTGCACAGTATTATGTGTAAATTTAATTGAATAAAATTGATGGAAAAAATTTTAAACAGTGTCAGAAGCATAGGTAACAGTACATAAGTTTTAATTATTATCATTCTTAATTGTGTAAAAAATATCTGCTATATATCTTACTATTGATAGCTACTTATCCCAAAACAAAATAAAATCAATGAATTTATAACATGAAGTGACTTACATCTTAAAAATTAATGCCCAGTTCAAGAACATTTTGAAATGTAACCAGTGAACTCCTGCCTGGCACAAAGATTTTCAGAGTAACTCTCCACCTACTTAAAAAGAAGGCTTTATTTTTATCAAAACAAATAAACAATATTAGCTTTTCTTGTAGAATTTTGTTCATTAGTACTTTATGTATACTTGCTGCTTAAGATTGCCTACGAATGATGCAAATAAACCTTATCTCTCAAAAGAAAGTTTTTTTAAAGTCTTTTTGTTGATTCTCATAAAAGTAGAAAAAAATTTATGGTTACGCTTTTGGTTTTCCTGGTATATTTTTTCTTAGTGACTGACAAGAATAGTTGTCTTATGTATCTTTTCTAGAAATACAAAATATCAAATGCCAAAATCTAAGACATGTTAGGAATCTGTACTTTTATCCATCTCTGGAACCTCTCACACTATGTATTATTTTAAACATATTTCTTTCAAACTTTTGAAATTTTTCTCTGCCCGTTTAATAGTATCTAGAGAAACAAGGCACTTTGCTGCCATTTCCTATGTACTCTACCTGTATGTTTCTTCACATTTATTATTGTTTAGGGAAATTTTGCCAAGTATTGGAGGAATTATCTAGACTTAAAATGTTGTTGAAAATAAATACATATTTATTATCATGTGTTAGATGCTTATATTTTAAAACTTATACCAATTATCATGTCATTATGAAATAATTTAATGCAAGCTACATATTTGGTAAAATGAATATAAAAGTTATTGATAATCCTGAAATCTTATTGGCTTACTAAATAGATGTTTATTTATTGTTCATATGAAATCAGACTGTACTGGGAAAGGGGCTAGGAGAGGAAAGAACTCTATTCACGTGGGAGCCCTGGCTAACACAAGACTTTCATGGCCACCCTAGACATTGACTGCATCCAATAGGTGGAAGAAAAGACTTTTATAGGCCTGGGTAAAAAGGATCATAGATCAATTTTGCTAATACTCTATTGGCAAAGTGGGCTTGGAAATCTATTTCTTGGCTTATAATGTATTCTCAGCAACAATTTAAACTACAGAATAATACTAGTCTTTGATGCAGAGCTAGTGATCTCCAGCATGTTTATACTAACTCTAGTCAAAATATAAACCAAGGCAAGATCATCAACACTAAAAATAAATGTGAATTTATATAGTAAAATAATATCTTTCATAATTTAATTTTTGACAATGTGCTATCAGGCATTTTGATTGCCATTGTGTTTACAACTTAATATGGGTTACAAACATTTCACATTACCCATATTAGCTCTGCCATTTTCTTGTGTTTCACAATGGGAGGAATCTATTTAAACCACTTTTCTATTTTTTGAGGGTCAACACTAGATAATAAAATCCATAATTATATCTTGCAAAGCACATGTATACTTTACTATGCTTCAATTCAGCAGTAGTAAGTCAGTGAGTCCTGGTGGTGTTATCAACAGCTCTGGATTGTGGAGCTCTCATATCTTTATCAGCAAGCTTCCTAACTTAATGTGTTTATTATTTTTAAGTTAAATAAAAAGTGTACGAATACAGTGTTTTTCTCACAGCCCAGTGAATCATGCTGCATGTTGCCCTTGCTAAGCTTAGCTCACTATAGATGACTAAATAAGCTGATTACAAACATCTTAATTAAGGATTATTATCACATCAAAGCAGAATTTTAATGTTTACAGAGGAATAGTTTGCCTAACATTGATTTTTGTACTCATTCTAAATCATTGTGACATCTGTAATTACTCAATGCACTAATCCTCATAAGTGTAGCCAAAATCCTATCTTTCAATCTGTTTATTGCATACTAAAAATACCCCTCACCTCTAACACATACATTATTCACATAAAAGTTATATCTATAGCCACAGTTATAGATAGATATTTAACCCACAGAAAGTTTCAGGAAAAAAAAAAGCAATCCAAGAATGCTAGCTATAACCTGGCCTATACCCAAATATAACCTCTTACCTTGATCATCCAACATTGCCCGAAGTGTTGAGTGACTTTAGGCCAATGGTTTTCAAACTCAGATACCTGTAGAAAGGAAGAAGTCTGTATTATTCTGTTCTCATGCTGCTAATAAAAACATACCTAAAACTGGGTAATTTATAAAGGAAAGAGGTTTAATTGACTCACAATTCCACATGGTTGGGGAGGCCTCATCTTACATGGTGGAGGCCAACATCTTACATGGTGGCAGGAGAGAGAACTTGTGCAGGGAACTCCCATTTATAAAACCATCAGATCTCCTGAGATGTATTCACTACCAGGAGAACAGTATGGGGGAAACCACCTCCATGATTCAATTATCTCCACCTGGCCCCACCCTTGACACATGGGGATTATTACAATTCAGGGTGAGATTTGGGAGAAGACACAGCCAAACCATATCAATGTCTTTCATGAGGACCCTAAAAAATGGAGAAGCATGAGTAGACAGACCCCTGATTCTATCAAACTGACAGAGCCTTTCAAGAGATTGTATCATTTTATATTTCTGTCACATGTGTGAGTTTCAGTGACTCCACTTTCTTGCCTGCACTAAGTATTATCAGCACTTTTTCCTTAGTCAATCTATTCTCTATAACGATACAACATTGTGGTTTTAATGTAAATTTCCCTAATGACTAACGATTTGTGGAACACATTTTTGCCATCAGTATGTCTTCTTTCATTTTATTCAAATATTTTGTCCAATTTAAAAATATTTTGTCTGCTCCAAACCATTTTTATCCTTTCGATGTTCACCATTTACTCCTGGTAGTCCCCATAAGTCTATTCATAAGCTGCTGATTCTCATTCTAAGGCATCCCTGTCAACCTAGGAAAAGTAAATGTCAGCATCCAGGTCTTCTAGAGAAAACCTGTAGGCCATTTGATCTCAATAACGAGCTCTTAGTGTGGTTGATAGGCTGCAACAGTAAGCAGTGCCTGAGCAAAATGACTTAGAATTTTACATTTTCCAACAGGGAGCAAGGGTAAGATGATCTTTTTCCTTTTCCTGCTTCATAAAATTTTGAATTGCTAGTTTCCATGGGTGTGTGTGCCGATAGACCACTGACTATAGGGATGGAGAGCCATCAGATACAAGGTAAACAACAGCAGAGGAACCACCGGCCCCAACAGCACACTATTTTTTTCAAGGACCCCATGTTAGGGTGCTCCTATGCTAGTTCCATGCAACTCTTGGTACTTCCAGGCAACCTGTGAGCAGTCTGCTGTTGCTACACTACAACAGGCAACAAGAAATTCGAATTTGATTCAGATATGCTTGGCTATTTGGGGCACAGCCCACTCAGCTGATTGGGGGGTATCATAAGGTCCAAGGGGGTTAGCCCCTTTTCTCTCCTTTTTGGGGAGGTTTTGAAGAATGAAGTTGTCGATATGGGACCTTCACTTCTGGAGGCTTAGGAACCAGTGACTAAGAGAGGAGGCAGGCACGTGCTTAGGTTGTAGAAACTCAAGGAGAACACAGTTTATGAGATCCACAGTTTAGGATTGGAAATGATGGCAAAATGTGAAACCATGCACAGTGGCAGTGGTTCAAGCACAAGCTTACCAGCAGGCAGCAGTGCCTCCCAGGCTGCCTCCACCTCTCAGTAAATCCAGACACCATCTAGAGGTATTTCTCTTTCATCTGAGGCCAAAACACCCTGTTTGCCTCTCCAGTTGTTTTAACCATATTATCTTGGGTGAGGTTGAGAAGACTGGATGCAGATGAAGAGAAGTAAGCCAGAAAGATGTTTGCAGTTTCATTATACTCATAAGCTTCTCAGGGAGACCACAGTATGCCATGTAGGGCCACTCAGGGGAAGCACTGGGGTCAGCCAAGATGAGGCGACCCATGGGCAAGCACCTTTTTTGTGGTTTCCACAGGAAGGCATGGGTGAGGCAGTGTAAGCAGGCCTAGAATTGGCTGTTGTGAATAATTCCAGGGGACTCTGGGGTCTACAGCAGTTTCTAGGTGTCTGGTACCAAACCCTAGGTGATTAGTGCCAATGTATAGTGGCCCAGAGTGTAAGAGACCAATACGGAAAGTGGCTGGGGATGTGGCCTTAATCAGCACAGGCAAAAAGAGGAACTGACCGGCATACAACCAGGGCCTCAAAACTGAGTCAAGATAAACACACACACACACACACACACACACACACACACACACACACACACACGCAACTACATCACAATCATACAAAAACGTTTGTACTTGGAAATTTATAGCTATAAATGTTTAGATTAAGAAAGAAGAAACCCTGAAATAAATAGCCTAACATCTTAAGCCAGTGGAAAAATAAGCTCAAACCAAACTTAAGCAAGTGGAAAGAAGAAAGTGATAAAGTGTACAGCAAACATTAATGAAACAGATTTTTTTTTAAAAAATAGAGAAAATCAATAAACAAAAGCTCATTCTTTAGAAAGATTGAAACAACTAAATTGTTTTAGCTAGATCAACCATAAAAAAGACAAGACTCAAATTATTAGCATCAGAGATAAAAAAGGGAACATTACTACCAATTTTACAGAAATAAAAAGAGCTATAAAGGAATGTGATTAATAATTATATACCAAACTAATTAGGTAATCTAGATAAAATTAACAAATTCAGAGAAATACACGAACTTCAAAACTATCTCAAGAAGAAATGGACAATCTGAATAGACTTCTAACAAATGATGAGATTGAATTAGTAAACAAAATGCTACACACAAGGTAAAACCCAGGCCAACATGATTACAATGGTGTGTTCTAACAAGAAAGAATTCATACATATTCTTATAAACACTTTAAAAAACTAGAAAAGGAGAGAGCACTTCCTAACTTTTTTGACAAATCTAGCATTACCCTAATGACAGAACTAGACACAGACATAGTAGAAAAGTAAACTACGGATCAATATTTCTTACAAATAAAAACGCAAAAATCCTCAACAAAAATGTAGCAAGCTGAGTCAAGTGACATACAAAAAGAATTATACACCATTGACAAGTAGTATTTATCCCAGGAATGAACAATGTGTGGAAATTAATGAATACGGTGCATCAGACAAATAGAATAGAAACCAAAAATTGCATGATCATCTTAGTAAGTGCAGAAAAACCATTTAAAAAAATCCACCACCCTTTCATGAAAAATATATTCAAAAAACTAACAGTAGATGGAAATGTCACAAACCTAATAACGAGAATCTAAAAAACCCACAGCTAACATCATACTTAATGGTAAATGACTGGATGTTTTTCCCTTAATATTAGGAACAATAAAATAGTGTCCACTCTCACCACATCAGTTAAACAGTGTGCTGTAGGTCCTGTGTAGAAAAATTGGTAATTGGAAGAAAGAAACGAAAGAAAGAAAGAAAAGAAAGAAGGAAGGAAGGAAGAAAGAAAGAGAGAAAGAAAGAGACAGAGAGAGAAAGAAAGAGAAAGAAAGAAAGAAAAAGAAAAGAAAGAAAGAAAAGAAAGAAGGAAAGAAAAGAAAAAGAAAGAAAAGAAAGAAAGAGAAAAGAAAGAAAGGGAGGGAGGGAAAGAAAGGAAAGAAAGGAGGGAGGGAGGGAAAGAAAGATAAAGAAAGAGGGAGGGAGGGAGGAAAGAAGGAAGGAAGGAAAGAAGGAAGCAAGCAAGCAAGCATCAGAATGGAAAGGAAGAAGTTTATCCTTATTTGCAGGTGACAAATACTGAACATAGAAAATAATTAATGAATTTATCAGAAAATTATTCAAACTAAAAAGGCATTCAGCAAGGCAAAAGTTTAACATACAAAAATCAACCCTTCCTATACACCTGAACAATCCAAAAATAAAATTTTAAAAAAAGTTCCATTTAAAATGACATCTGCAATGTTATTTGAATGTGTCCCCTAAATTCATGTGTTGGAAACTTAATCCCCAATGCAACAGTCTTGGGAGGTGGAACCTAATAGGAAGTGATTGGGTCATAAGAACAAAACCCTCATGAATGGATTAATGTCATTATTCCCAGAGAGGTTTATTTTTTGTGAAAGTGGGTTGTAATAAAAGGGAGTACACCACTCATGCTTTCTCTCTCACATGCTCATTTTTACCTTCTCGCCTTCCACCATGAGATGACCCTCACCAGATGCCAGTGCTGTGCTTTTAGACTCCCAAGCCTCTAGAACTGTGAGAAATTAATTCATTTTTAAAATAAATTACCCAGTCTGTGGTATTCTGTTATAGTATCAGAAAATGAACAAATACATCATCAAAAAGAATAAAGTACATAAAGATAAATGTATGAAAAAAGTGCAAAAATTATACTTTCAAAACTACAAAATATTACTGAAATAAATTACCAAAGATTTAAATAAACAAATATATTTTATATTTATGTATCAGAAGACTTAATATGGTTCAGCTATTCAGATACAATACTCCCCAAATTGATCTACAGATTCAGTGCAATTCCTATCAAAATCCCAGCTAACTTCATAGTAATTGGCAAGGTGATTAGAAAAATCATATGGAATTCCAAGGGACTCAGAATAGTCATAAAGCCTACTTATGGTGGAATATTATTAGGTAATGAAAAAGAATGATGTACTTATACATACTATAACATAGATGAATGACAAAAATCTTATGCTAAATGAAAGAAGCAAAACAAAAAGACCACATATCGTATGATTTTATTTATATGAACTTTCCCCAGAAGACAAATCTATACGTAGAAAAACTGAATTGAGAAATATTTTAGGATAATGAAAATACTCTAAAATTGGATTGTGATGTTGGTTTCATAATTCTAATTTTTCTAGAAAAAAATAAATTGGATAATATTTAAATTATAACTCAAAAAATTCTTAAAATATAAATTCTAAAAACATAAAAATAGTTTTTTTCTCTTCCTTTATTGCACAGCCTAGGACATCCTGTATAACAATCTTGATTAGAAGTGGTGAGATTGGACATCCTTGACTTTTTCCTGATCTTAGTGGTGATGAATTCATTTATTTTATGATTAAGTATTCTTTTACTGTTAGCTTTCCATTCATGCCCTTGATCAAGTTGAGTAAGTTAATTTCTATGCTTAATTTGATGATAGCATTTTTTCCTAATCAAGAACAGCAATTTTGATTTTGATACTGAATTTTGGAAAATATTCTTTAGTTCATATTAAGATGATCAAATTAATTATCTTTATTTTTAAATTTCAGTCTATCAATATTGATAAGAATATTGCTTGTATTACTTGTTTTTCAAATGTCAAACCAAGGATAAAAGACACTTAATGATGATGCATTATACCTTTTACAATTGTTGGATTTGATTTGACATAATTTTAAAAGTATTTGTATATTTTCACTGGGAACACTGGAGTGTATATTTCTTTCATTACATTGTTTTTATCTGATATTCATATCAGAGTAATTCCAACCTCACAGTTGGAATGTATTTTTCTGGTGGAAATGGTATTGCTTCTTCATATTGATTCTTCCTTAAACATTTGGTGGAATTAACCAAGGGATCCCACCTGAGGCTAAAACTTTCTGTCTAGAAGATTTTAAATTAAAGATTGAAATTCATTATTAAATATAGTGCTACCCATATTACCTATATTTTCTTGAGCTTTGCTACTTAGTGTCTTCCCAGGAATTTATCCATCTCATAAAGTTTTTAATAATCTCTATAAAGTAAATGCTACCCTTGCCATTCTTAATAGCAGTAATTTGTGCCTCCTCCCTTCTTATTTTCTCCCACTTTTAAAATTGTTTCATGCAATAGGGTAATTCGCTTTTTCTGTTACTTCACTTGGACAGAGGCAGAAGACTCCTTAGCACATTATTTTTAAATTGCGACAGATGATCCATATTAACATGTTAAAGAGGACAAAGAACTTATTTTAAACAGCAAAGCTCACAACAATGTCCCAAACACTCCTAATATCCAGTCCCCATCAAGGAAGAAAAATTATTATTTTTTAAAAATTGTTTTACCCATAAATATATACTTTCAACTTCATCTGGTGTATATATCTGAGAATATATGAACACATATACATCTATATAAAACATTAATTTCTGTTCCATGTTTTCTTTTCTTTGTGTACTATCAACTATCAATTGACTTTCATTTATGATACAATATAACTTAGGTCACTTATACTATCCTCTCTTTCCCCTGACCCTTATCCTCAAAATATCTGTATTTTGAAATATACATTCCCATGTGTTTGACTCTGAATGTGAATATGTACTTACATTTGGAAATACAAATTATATCGATTAGCTCTATAAGTTTAATATCTATATTCCTATATTTAGTAAGTTTATTTATATACACACATACATATAAATATCTGCATTATTCCTTAACTTTTTCTCCACTGGTTCTGCTTCTCAATGTCCAACATATAAAATTTTACTTTTTCATTGAAGAGTGTTAAAACAAGTATCTACTATCACAACCAAGTCAGGTGGGTTACTATAAAGTGTGTTCTAATAAATTATGTCTTTCTTAATATAGTTCTTTATGTAATGCATTTAAGAACTCCTTAGTAGAACAGAATTTTTATTTATACATTTCTTTATGGCTTTAATTCTACAAGCCCTAAACTAATAGAAGAACAGTATCCCGGCATCAAGGTTAAGTACATTTTCTGTTCCTGTCACTTTTAAATATTCCTCATATTTAGAAACTAACCATATAATATTATTTTTCCCTAGCATTTTTAAATGCTCTTATATACTTACTGGGCAAAAGACCAAGGTGAATTTGTTATTGTCTCTGGCTTTTCTGTTACTCAATATTATTGTGTACTGTATAGTGTATCAGTCACAGAAAACAGATGACATATTTAATTTATGATAATTCGAGATGTGTTTATTTACAATGTTACAAGTAGTGCATGTATGGAGATGCAAAGTAGAGTGCGATAACACAGCATAATGACAGCAGAACCCTCACTATCTCTGGGCCTATGAGAACAATGGCAGAGAATGACTACTGGAACCCAGAAGGAGATCTCTTTGTAGAGTAGGCCAAATTGAGAGCAATATTGAACTTTGATTGTGGGCACAGTTAGCCTGGTGTAATTTTGCTGGGAGAAAGCCAATAGAAGGGATAAGTTTACCTTACTATCCTACGTATATCCAATCCCCTCACTCCCTCAGCTGAATCCAACCCAAAGCTAGCAGGCAAAGTAGCTCATTGTTGGAATTCATACAGGTCATCTTTGTGAGTCTAAAAGTAAGGTGAAAAAGGATGAGGTATAGATCTAGAGGAGAAAATAGAGTTATATGGTAAAAAAAAAAAAATCTCATTTTTTCCTTCCATTTTCAGAGTTTGTCTTCCCTTCTCCAATTTTGAGTAGTCGGTATAAACCAAAAGGTACCTGAGACAGATCTCAATCAACTTGGAAGTTTACTTTGCCAAGGTTAAGTGTCATGATCCATGACACAGCCTCAGGAGGTCCTGAGAACGCGTGCCCACAGTGGTTGGGTTCTAGCTTGGTTTTATGCATTTTAGGAAGACGGAAGTTACAGGCAAAGAAATAAACCAATACATGTAAGGTATACATTCATTTAGCCCAGAAAGACAACACAAAAAAAACAAGGACCTTACAGGTTGTAAGTGGATGCAAGGATTTTCTGATCCAAGGCAATTGGTTGAAAGAGTTGTTATTATCTAAGGACATAGAATCAATAGAAAGGAGTGTCTGGCTTAAGATAAGGGATTATGAGGACCAAGGTTCTTATTACATAGATGAATGCTCATAGATGGGAGCCCTTAGAGGAAATAGATGGCAACATATTTCCTATTCAGACCTTTAAAAGGTGTTAGACTCACAGCTAATCTCTTCAGCATCACAAAAAGACCTGGAAAGGGAAGGGGGTTTTCTAAAGAATATAAATTTCCCCCACAAGAGACAGCTTTGCAGGGCCATTTCAAAATATGTCAAAGAAATATATTTTGGGGTAAAATACTTCAATTTATTTCAAGGCTTGCTAGCTGTCATGTGATACTACACTAGCGTCACATAGGAATTTATCTTATTGCTACAAAGAGTCTGTTTTGTTAGACTTAAGATCTCTGTTTTAATGTTAATCAGTTGTATCTGAATTCCAAAGGGAGAAGAGGGCAGTGAGGTGTGTCTAACCCCCCAACTCCCTATTACGTCCCGAACTGGTTTTTCAGGTTCCTTGCAATCTCTTTGGCCAAGAGGAGGGTTCTATTCACTAGGCCTAGGGGCTTAGAATTTTATTCTTGGTTTACATTTGTTTCTAGGCCTATTTTGCGACTCCCATACATTATTTTATCACTTTCATTATTCCTCTGTTCTTCATTTTTCTGGATCTTGTATGTCTCTTTTACTTAATTAATATATATCTTCAATTACTTAATGAAAAATAAAATCTTTATTCTGGGTGCCTAATTGTTTAATAGTTTAGCTAGATACAAGGTACAAGCTAAATTTATGTTTTTAAAATTTTGATTCATCAAATGTTTAGAAAGAAGATCTAATGCCTGTCCCTTTTAAGTGACATGCAGTCAATGTTTGTTATTTGCAGTAGTTACAGCCTATGAAGTTACTGTAAACACTAAATTAGTGACTATGGAAAAGTTGCAACTAGAAGAAATACAAGGTTAGGTTTCTGTGAGCTTCTGGTCACAAAATTTTCATCAATCAATACATAACCTTTTTAAAATGTGTGTTTTTATTTAAAGACACCTTATTTAATATATATTGTTAAGTCATTAACATCACACTCATGGCCAAGAGCACTATAACTCATTCCTTACCTAAATATGCATATTTTCCTATAAGGCACATCACTGAATTCTTACACTTAGGCACACTAGGCAGTACCTCAGCACTGTGCCTGAGAGCCATTTTAAACAGTGTAATCACCAACAAAAAGCATGCACATTTGAAAATTGTGACATTAAATAGACTGAGCAAAGGATGCTCATTTATAGTATGAGAGACCAAACAAGATGGCAGTGTATCACCTTTTTCATCTGAGCTGGAAATGTGTGCATCGTGACTCAGATTTTTTTGCTACTCTGTGCATGGCCATGAACAGCCAGGAAAATACCATGAGTATTCATTTGGGGGTTACAAATAAGTTTCAGTGAATAGGTTATTTTGAAAATATGGAATTCATTAATAATGAGGGCTGCCTGTCTGTACATATTATTCCTGCAAACATTTACAATGTTATTTTAATATGATTTTCTTCACTTCTATGAGGGTGTGTCTTTATTAAAGTTCTTTCAACTCCATCCTTTTCATCATCTGTCACTTTTTAATACAACTCAAAATTGTTGGAAACATGGGCCTTCACTTAAAGAAAATTATCTTCTGTTATTACTTTTACAATTTGTTTACATGCGTATTCTCATTCTCTTTCTAGAATTCTTCTTAGAGAGATGCGGACAATATCAGATATGTCTTATTTTTTCTTCTGTTGTTATTACTTGTTTTGAATTGTGGTCTGAGCTTTCACTGGCTTTGTATTCCAGTACTAACATTGAATTTTAGAAGTTTGAAGCTCATCTTTGTTGCTTCTATCTGCCTGTCCCTACCACCCTGAGATGAGAGCTTCTCAGATGTACTTATCGGTAGATCTATGTCCACATAGCCTCAGCCCAGTTTTTTCTAGTCTATTTTATAATTTCTGTCCTTTAGAAATTACTTTGAAATCTCATTCACCAATATTAGCCATATTCTTCTTATTTTTATTATGCACGTATTTTTGAATCTCTATTGTTTCATTTTGATGATAACTCAGCAAAAGCAACCCTTATATTTTTTACAGTTCAATATTTGTAACATGTTATACTATTGCTAGCCAACCTAAAGTATTACATAATTCTCAGTGTAAGAGAAGGAATAATAAAAGACTCATGTACAAAATAAAGTGTCTCCCTCTGTCTTAAGTCGCTTTTGATTTGCTATAACAAAATATCTGAGACTGGGTAACTTGTATGAAACAGAGATTTATTTCTTACAGTTCCGGACACTGGGAAATCCAAGGTTGAGTGGCCTGTATCATCATCATCATCTTTCTGCATCATCCTATGATGAAAGGTGGAAGGACAAGAGGGCACACCAGAAAAAGTGAGAGCAAATAAGAGAGAGAAAGAGAAAGAGAGAGAAGAGAGGAAGGGCAGCAAACCCATCCTGTTGTCAGGAACCCATTATGGCTATAACTAATCTACCCTTGTGATAACAACATTAATCCATCCATAAGGGCAAAGACCTCATGACCTAATCACCTTTTAAAGATCTCGGCTCTCAACACTGTTGCATTGGAGATTAAGTTTCCAACACACGAACTTTGGAGAACACGTTCAAACCATAGCACCCTGACTCTACCAAAAAAGAAATTTGAGCCCAGGGAGAGGGAACTAAGGCAGAGTGAAGATACACTGATAGAGTGAAAGTTAAGTTGAGTTTAAACATGTGAATGTGTTTATCTGCCCTCAAACTTGTTCTCTTGGAAAACTGAACTATCCAGAGGCCAATTAGAGAACAGCCCAACCTTAAAGAGTTTCTTATTATAAATGGTATACAAGGGAACTGTTCCAAAAGCAGTTTGTAAACCTGAAAATTAAAGGAGAAAGAAAATAAATAACTCAGAGTTATAGCTCTGGAGACCACAGTATGCTTAAAACACAGGCATGTCAGCCGCGTAGTGTGTTTTTAATACCTAACCACATCCTGTGAATACTCTGATGCTTTTATTACTGCCTCATTCCCAAGAAGTTCTTCAATTGATGCTATAAATACACAAGACTTAATACACTAAAAATTAAGTCTGGTACAAACAATTGCCAGTAAACTGAAAGTTAATTCAGAAACGAATGTTACTCACTCCTGAAAGGCATTATGGACTAGATATTCCACCAAAAAGGAGACAGGCTTACTCTTGAGAAACCGTGCAAAAAACAAAGATTCCCACTGATGACCTCAAATTTGTTTCTTTATTTTGCTCAGTAATTCTCACCCCTGGAAACTAATTTTTAGAGCTATTCATCTTTTCCTTTACTGTATTTTATTATTAAATTAGTAGAGGTTTACCTTTAGAAAATAAAGGGGAATTTGGATAATTATAAAGTCTAATATTCAGAGATTATTCTGTTAATATTTTAGAATGCATGCCTTTAGACTTATGGAATTATATATAGATACAGATATATGCAGGTGATCCTTCCGTATAAACCATATCATAAATTTTTCCACTAAAAATATACTATGAGAAAATCGAAACTCTATACACTGTTAATGTGTATAATGGGTAGACCAATTATAGAAAACAGTACAGAATTTCTTAAAAACAAACAAACAACCTTGTGACCCAGCAATCCCTCTGTTGGTTATAAACCAAAAGGAAATGAAATCAGCACCTCATAGACATTTTCTATGCTTTTAGGTTCATTGCAGCATTATTCCCAATGATGTACTGTACACAAAAATATGGTAAAAGAGTAGATTTTAGTTGCTCTTGCCACACACACAATAAAACATAACTATGGAAGATGATGACTATGGAAATTTGTTTGACCTTATTAATTATTTTACTGTGTGTGTGTATCAAAATATATTGAACACAGATAAAATAAAAATAAATTTAAAGAGGCATATAAAAATATATATGTATACTATGAAAATATTTCTATATCAAAAAGTTTACAGAATCATTTATAAGAGCAGACCATTTCCTTATAATAGTATTTAGATAATTTATAACTAGTGCTTATAGATATGATATACCCCTTTTGAAACAACAGTGTAACATCCTACACTCTACCAAGTTCTCAATTCCTAGAAGAGCAATTATTAAATCAAAGGAAACATGCATCTAGAATTGCCATTAAAAATCAGTGTGCCGGCCGGGTGTGGTGGCTCATGCATATAATTCCAGCACTTTGGGAGGCCAAGGCGGGCGGATCACCTGAGGTCAGGAGTTCGAGACCAGCCTGGCCAACATGGTGAAACCCTGTCTCTACAAAAAATACAAAAATTAGCCAGGCATGGTTGTGTGCACCTGTAATTCCAGCTACTTGGGAGGCTGAGGCAGGAGAATTGCTTGAACCTGGGAGGCGGAGGTTGCGGTGAGCTGAGATTGTGCCATTGCACTCCAGCCTGGGCAACAAGAGCGAAAAACTGTCAAAAAAAAAAATCAATGTGCCAATATTCACTGCACCAATAATGTAAAAGGAAGACCTTCAGAAATGCTGTGCAGATTACTGACTCAACAGCCATTTATGAAAGAAATCTGGATTTATTTGTATTTTACATTTGTTGGTGTGTTACATAGTCTTATTTTTAGTTGAAATAACTGTACTTAGACTTCTTGTTTTTGATCTTTCAATGAAAGTATTAGTGGGAAGAGTGGTAATTGCTAAGAGCATCTCTGGGTTCAGGAAAGTACTGAGCCGGAGAAAACATTTCACTCCCCAGATATGTAGTACTTTATAGCTCTGTTCTTCTTTAAATGTTCGCTAGAATTTAATAGTGAAGCCATCAGGTCCTGGAGTATTCTTGAAGGGAGCTTTCTTATTACAGCTTTGATATTTGTTACTTATTGTTGGTCTATTCAGGTTTGGGATTTCTTCATGGTTAAATCTTGGTAGGTTTTACATATCTAGGAATTTATTCACTTATTCTAAGTTTCTTTTTCTTTTTCTTTTTTTTTTTTTTTGAGATGGAGTCTCGCTCTGTCACCCAGGCTGGAGCCGTAGTGTAATCTTGGCTCACTGCAGACCTCCTGGGCCCAAGTGATCCTTCTACCTTAGCCTCCTGAGTAGCAAGGACCACAGACATGCAACTTCATGCCCAGCTAATTTTTATTTGTATTATTTTTTGTAGAGACAGAAGTCTCCCTATATTGCTCAGGCTAGTTTCAAACTCCTGGACTCAAGCAATCTTCAAGCCTTGGCCTCCCAAAGTGTTGAAATTATAGTCATTAACCACCATGCTTGGCTGCATAATCGTCTTTAATGATCCTTTACATTTCTATGGTTCAGTTGTAATGTCTCCTTTTTCATCCCTGATTTTATTTATTTGAGTGTTTAATCTTATTTCCTTCATCTGGATAAAGGTTTGTTGATTTTGTTTATCTTTTCAAAACGTAACTTTTGTTTCATTGATTTTTTGTGTTTTTTTAAGTCTCAATTTCATTTATTTCTGCTCTGATCTTTTTTATTTCTCTTCTACTATAATTCTTTATAAATTACCCAGTCTTGGGTATTTCCTTATAACAATGTGAGAACAGGCTAATACAAGATGACATGGTAAAAATGTTTATGGGCTTTTGAAGGATAGGAACCATGTGCATTCATAGCAGAACAAGAAATCATGTCAGTGTATATAATTAAAGAGAGCTGTAAAGTTAAAAAAATGTAAAGTAGGCAGATTATTCTGGAGGAAACATTTTAAAAAGCCATCCTTAGAGGACCCACGTTCTGGTCCCTCAACTGCTTCTGAAGGCTCTTCTCACCTAAAAAAAGATACATTGTACAGTCTTTTAATCAAACTGCAGCATCATAGGTGGAAGCCAGAAGCCTGCCATTATCTTTTTTTTTTTTTTGAGACTGAGTTTCGCTCTTGTTGCCCAGGCTGGAGTGCAATGGAGCGATCTCGGCTCACCGCAACCTCCGCCTCCCAGGTTCAAGCAATTCTCCTGCCTCAGCCTCCCAAGTAGCTGGGATTACAGGCATGCACCACCACACCGGGCTAATTTTTTTTTTTTTTTTTTTTTTGTATTTTTAGTAGAGATGGGGTTTCTCCATGTTGAGGCTGGTCTCCAACTCCTGACCTCAGGTGATCCGCCCACCTTGGCCTCCCAAAGTGCTGGGATTACAGGCGTGAGCCACCGCGCCCAGCCCATTATCTATTGTTTTTAACAGCTGGAACAGGTATTCTGATGATGCTACTGTGCTGTGTAGTTACCATGAACACATTATTGTTTCACTGTATTAATGGTATGCCATTATTTTTCTACTGTTAAGCGCTTATTGGTGAATAAGTGTAAGAAAATTATTGTTTATCAGCAGCATATAAATATAAGGTCAGGAATAATGGCGATGCCAGACAACCACAGATTGTCCGCATGGGTAACTGATACAGTGACACTTGCTTTCTGACTGTTAAGCATACACAAATTTTGTTTCATGTAAAAAATTACTTAAAAATATTGTATAAAATTACTTTCAGACTATATGTATAAGGTATATATAAAACATAAATTTTGTGTTTAGATTTGGGTCCCATTTTCAAGATATCTCATTATGTACAGCTGACCTCTGCATCCAAGGGTTCCACATCTGCAAATTCCACCAATATTTGAAATATTAAACATTTGAAAACAATGAAGGATTGTGTTTGTATTAAGATATACAGACGTTTTTTGGTCCTTATTCCCAAACAATAAAAACTATTTATGTAACATTTACATTGTATTAGATATTATAAGTAATCTAGAGATAATTTAAAGTAGATAAGAGCATGTGCATAGGTTATAAACAAATACTATATCATTTTATATAAGGAACTTGAAAGTCCTTGGATTTTGGTATTTGTGGGAGGATTTAAACCCAATTTTTCACAGATACAAAGGAAGAACTGTATGTGCAAACATTTATAAACGTGAAATCCAAAATACCTCTTATTTCAAGCATTTTGGATGAGGGATATTCAGGCTGTATTCTTTCTACTTCTATCTTCTGGAAGAGAGTGTAGGTAATTGGTATAATTTCTTTCTTAAGTGTTTGATAGAATTCACCAGTGAACTTACTGGAGCTTGGCGCTTTTTCTTTTGCAAGGTTATTAATTATTGATTCAAATATTTCAATGGATGTAGGCCTAGTCAGATTACGTATTTCTTCTTTTATGAGTTTTTGAAGGTTGTGCTTTTCAAGTAATTGGCCTTTTTCATTTAAATTATCAAATTTGAGAGCATCAATTTATTCACATATTTCTTTATTATTTGTTTAATGTTCATGGAATCTATGGTGATGTTCCTTCTTTAATTTTGACATTAGCAATTGTCTTTTGTCTTTTATTGTTATTTAGTGTGACTAAAGGCTTACTGATCTTTTCAAACAACCACTTTCAGTTTTGTTGATGTTCTCCATTGATTTCCTGCTTTTAATTTTATTGATTTTTGTTCTAGTTTTTATTTTTCTTTTCCACTTTTGATTTAATTGGCTTTCCTTTTTCTAGATTTTTAGGGTGGAAGATCATTGATTGATTTTAGATATTCTTATTTCCAGAAATATGCATTTCATGCTATAAATTTCCCTTGAAGCACTCATTTTGCTGCATCCCACAAATTGTGGTAAGTTTTATTTTCATTTTTATTTAGTTCTAAATATTTGAACATTTCTCTTGAGATTCTTTTTTGACCCCTGTGTTATTTAGATGTGTGTTATTTAATATCCAAGCATTTTTGGATATTCTAACTGTCTTAATCCATGTAAGCTGCCCTAACACAATACCATAGATTGAGTGGCTTGTAAACAATATTTATTTTTCACGGTTCTGGAGTTTGGGAAATCCAAGATCAAGGAGCTAGCAGATTCAACATCTGGTGAGAACTAGCTTTCTGGTTTATAAACAGTCATGTTTTTGCTATATTCTCACATGCAGAAAGGTCAAGGGACTTCTCTGTGTCTCTTTTACAAGGATACTAATCCTATTTGATGGCTCTGCCCTCATGACCCAATCACTTCCCAAAATCTCCACTTTCTAATATCATCACATTAGATGTTAGAATTCAACATGTAAATCTTCAGGGAACACAAGCATTTTGTCTAAAGCATCACCTGTCTTTCTGTTATTGATTTCTGGTTTAATTGTTTTTGTTGTTTCAGAGAAGACATTATATGACTTCTACTCTTTTACTTTTGTTGGGGTAAATGGCCTGGCATGTGGTCTATCTCAGTGGACATTTCATGAGAACTTGAGAAAAATTTGTAATCTGCTGTTGTTAGATGAAATAGTCTATAGATGTCAATTATATTCAGTTAATTGGGGGTACCACTAAGTTAAACTATGTCCTTATGATTTTCTCCTGCAGTCCGTCCATTTCTGATAGAGGGGTATTAAAATCTCCAGCTGTAATAGTGGCTTCATCTATATTTTCTTGTGGTTCTATCAGTTTTTGCCTCACATATTTTGAAGCTTTAGTTTTAGGTGAATGAACATTAAGAATTACTATGTCATCTTGGAGTGTTGACTCCCTTATCATGAAGTAATGTTCCTTTTTAGTCCTCAAAACTTTTCTTGCAGTGAAGTCTACTCTGTCTGAAATTAATATAGCTACCTCCTTCTTTTTAAATTAGTGTTTGCATGGTACATATTCTATTACTTTTAGGCTATATGTATCTTTATATTTAAAATCAGTTTTTTCTAGACATTGGAAAGTTGGAATTTGTTTTTGGATCCACTCTGACAATCTCTATCTTTTAATTGCTGTATTTAGACCATTGACACTTGAAGTTATTGTTGATAAATTAATATCTATCATATTGGAGACTGTATTTCTATTTGTTGTTTGGTCCTCTTTTGGCCTTCCACACTTTTTCTGACTTTTGTGGTTTGAATCAAACATTTTATATCATTTCATTTTCTGGTATACCAATTATACTTTTTTTTTTTTTTACTTTCTTTAGTGATTGTCCTAGAGTTTGTAACATTTATAACTAATCCAAATCCACTTTCAAATAACACTATACCACTTCATTGGTAGTATGAGTACCTTATATTAACAAAATAATTCCCTCCATTCCTTGTATCATTGTTGTCATTCACTTCACTTGTACATAAGCATACTTAAATACATCGTTGCTATTAATATTTTGAACAAACTATTTTATTTTAGATCAATCAAGAATAAGAAAAATAAAATGCTTTATTAACCTTCACTAATTGTTTTTCCAATGCTCTTTCTTTACGTAAATCCAGGTTTCTGACCTGTATCATTTTTCTTCTCTCCAAAGAACATTTAACATTTCTTGCAAGGCATATCAACTGGCTAAAACGCCCCTCAATTTTTATTTGTCTGACAAAAGTTTTATTTATTCTTCATTTTAGAAGCATAATTTCAGAGTACAGAATTATAATTTCTTAGTATTTTTTCCTTTTATTTTAATATTTCACTCCATTTTGTTCTCACTTGCATAGTCTCTGAGAAGTCAGATGTAATTCTCATCTTTGCTTCTTTAGAGGTAAAGTTCCCCCCACTTTGGCTTCTTTCAAGGGTTTGTTTATGTCATTGATTTTTTGAAGATTGAATATAATATGTACAGGCATAATTTTTTTGTGTATGTGGCACTTTTGTTGCTTAAGGTTCTCTGAGCTTCCTGAATCTGTGGCTTTGGTTTTATATTAATTTGGGGAAAATTCTTAGTTATTATTGTTTCATTACATCATCTTAATCTCAAGAGATACCTTTTCAGTAGCTTTTACTCAGTTAACTCAGCTGAAAACTAGAGGAGATGTCTCCCAGTTTCTCAGATTTTCTCCTAGTTTTGGGTTTACTGATTTTCTTTTTCCTTTCTTACTCTTTTTCTTTATTTTGTATTTAATATCTATTCTAGTGGGATATTTGGATAGGATGAATGGAAAACATCAAGCTAGATACTATTTAATATTAAGGAAAAATAGAAGCTAAATCTGTTTGTCTATCATTTTAAATACCACAATTATTTACTTACAGTATGTGTACATTTAAAACTGCACATATATATGAAAGAAATATGTTCTGTTCAGTGGGCCTGTATGTTATAAATCTAATAATAAAATACCACTTTTAAAATAAAAATAGACAAATGCTTCTGTAAAATATTAACGATTTTCTCAAAATAGTTTCAATCTTTCTAAGATTACATGGCATGATTATAAAACCTATCAGTGTGCCTAACAGATGGTATATAACTGATACATATTGTTTTCTTTTCTATTCCATTTCTCTAGACATGCTGTGCCTCAATTTTGATGCAAATTCCTGGTATATAATTATTTATTCTCCTTTGCTTTACAAATAGATATTTTGTAAATAATAGATTTCTTATAAGAAAATTTTAACAACTACTCTTTTGGAGAATGGTTCAAAGAAGATTGTAATCTCTTTTTTCTTTCAGCATTCTCTTATATTTTTTCCCACATTCCCTATCCCCAGCACACTTAGAGATTCTGTCTTTTCTGTATTAATTTCCCTTATAATATAAATGCTACATTCACTGTAATAATAGTTATTGCACTTAAAGCCGATCAAGCATCTATATTTTAATAAGCCTTAACTTCATAGTATTCCTGCAGCATAACAATAAATTTCCCTGTCCTCTCTTTCATGCAAAATAAATATTATCCACTAATAACAGCACATTGGCTTATGTGGAGAGAGCTATTTAAGAATATTGCCTATAGATGTTTACTAGTTTATGATCCTTGGACAAATAGCTATATGTTTCTTTCTTTCTTTCTTTCTTTCTTTTTTTTTTGAGACAGAGTTTCACTCTTGTTGCCCAGGTTGGAGTGCAATCTCAGCTCACCACAACCTCCGTCTCCCAGGTGCAAGTGATTCTCCTGCCTCAGCCTCCCGAGTAGCTGGGATTACAGACATGCGCCACCACTCCCGGCTAATTTTGTATTTTTAGTAGAGACAAGGTTTCTCCATGTTCGTCAGGCTGGTCTCGAACTCCCAACCTCAGGTGATCCAGCCACCTTGGCCTCCAAAAGTGCTGGGATTACAGGCGTGAGCCACTGCACCATGCCAGCTATTTGTTTCTTTAAACTTAGTGCATTACATTACCTGTTCCAATACTTAATTCATTTTAGAACGTTCTTAATTCTTTGTTAAAACATTCTCATCTGTGACTGCAGAATGGCCTCCCTCCATTTAAAGATGTTTAAAGCCATTGCATCCATTTAGCCTTCTTTGCTAAGGCTGAAGGATTTTAAATATGATCTCATCTATTCTCTAAGCATGAAATTGAAATCTGTCCTACATTAATACACAAATCAGTAGATTTGTAAGAGAGGTAACATTGTTTTAATGACTCCAAATAGTTTGTGCAATTCAAAATCCTTTGGCTTTCTTTCATCTTGACTGTGTTTTCACCAATAAATTTCTATCTCTCTTAAGTTGTGGTTTGCACACATTTCAGCCCACAGAAATACCTCATATCCTTACTGGTTTTCAAGAAAAATAACTATTAATAAGGCAGTGATGGTTTCACCAATGGATCCTAGGTTTAGCATAGCTAAAAATAGAAAGAGAAACGTGAAAATTTATATAAACTATTTTATACCCAACCATGTTAAAATAAAATTCGGTAATCTGAATGCTAAAGTCCTTAATATAAATGCCTTAATATAAATAAGATATCATGAGAAAAAAAAAAAAGACTCAGCATCTTTTCCCTGGGTTTTGCTCTTGATTCTAAGACAAAGATGTAGTCAAAGTTCCAACCTTGGGATGGACAAAATTCAGGATGGATGGAATGAAAAAGAGCCCTTCATAACTATATCCTCACCAATTTGGGGTCCACCTTTAAGAAATTTGTTTAGAATAAATAGATTGTATATTTATTTACTAAAGTTTTATGTGAAAAATAAAGGCAGGTACCACAGAAATTCCACCACATAAATGATGCTCTGTTCTGGGTACCATGGACAGCTAGGAAGAAAGGTCCAGAATTTCCAGCAGTGCTAAATGGTAAAGGTCTTTTCCTATTAAACTCAGCTGATAAAGAAGGGAAGAGTGGGCTATTTCTCCAAATGTGCATAAATCAAAGTAAAGCTACAAAGAACATGAATAATTAGAAATATACAATAAAAAATAAATAAATAAATAAATTTAGAGCAACCAACCTAAAGAAAGAGAAAACACTCCACTGCCCAATAAAAAATTCAAAATAATGTTTTAAAGAAGCTCAGTGAGTTACAAGACAACATGGATAAACACCTCCTCTGGGATACAGCAAAAGCAATACTAAGAGGGAAGTTTCTAGCAATAAATGCCTATGGCAAAAAATTAAAAAAAAAAACTTCAAATATACAACCTAATTATGTATTTTTAAAAAGTAGAAAAGCAAGAACAAATTCAACACAAAATTAGTAGAGATCTGTGAAAATTTGAACTTGAGAGAGATGATTTAGGGTATCTGGTGGAAGGAATTTCTAAGCAGCAAAGCATTCAAGAGGAAGCAGAGCATAAAAGTTTGGGAAATTTGCAGCCTAACCATGCAGTAGAAAAGAGAATCCCATTTTCTGGGGAGAAATACAAGCTTGCTACAGAAATTTGCATAATTAATGAGGAGCCAAATGCTAATTTCCAAGACAATGGGAAATGACTCTAGGGCACGTCAGAGACCTTCACAGCAGCTCCTCCTATCACAGGCCTGGAGGCCTAGGAGGGAAAAATGGTTTCTTGCACTGGGTCCAGGTCCTCCCTGCTCTGTCCACCCTTAGGACTTGGTGTCCTGCACCCCAGCCACTCCAGCCATGGCAAAAAGGGGCCAAGGTACAGCTCCGGCCATTGCTTCAGAGGGTACAAGTTTCAAGCCTTAGTGGCTTCCACATACTGTTGGGCCTGCAGGTGCACAGAAGAAAAGAATTGAGGTTTGGGGACCTCCACCTAGACTTCAGAGGATGTATGGAAATGCCTGAATGCCAGGCAGAGGTTTGCTGCAGGGGCAGAGCACTCATGAAGAACCTCTGCTAGGGCAGTGCAGAAGGGAAATATGGGGTCGGAGACCCCACACAGAGTTCTCACTGGAGCATTGCCTAGTGGACTGTGAAAAGAGGGCCACTGTTTTCCAGACCCAACAATGATAGATCCACCAACAGATTGCACCATGTGCTTGGAAGATCCGCAGACACTCAATGCCAGCTGTGAAAGCAGCTGGGAGGGGGGTTGTACCATGCAAAGCCACAGGCACAGAAATGCTTAAGGCCATGAAAGACCACCTCTCTTGCATCAGTGTGACCTGGATGTGAGACATGGAGTCAAAGGAGATCATTTTAGAGCTTTAAGATCTGAGTGTCCCACTGGATTTCAGACTTACGTGGGTCCTGTAGCCCCTTCATCTTGGCCAACTTCTACCACTTGGAATGGGTGTATTTACCCAATTCCAGTACCCCTATTGTATCTAGGAAGTCACTAACTTGCTTTTGATATTACAGGCTCATGGGTGGAAGGGACTTCCCTTGTCTCAGATGAGACTTTGGACTTGACTTTTGGGTTAATGCTGGAATGAGTTAAGACTTTGAGGAACTGTTGAAAAGGAATGGCTGTGTTTTGAAATGTGAGGACATGAGATTTGGGAGATGCCAGGGGTGGAATGATATGGTTTGGCTATATCCCTACGCAAATCCCATATTGAATTTTAATCCCCATAAGCCACACATGTCATGCAAGGGACCTGGTGGGAGGTAATTGAATCATGGGCGTGGTTTCCCCCATGCTGTTCTCATGATAGTGAGTAAGTTCTCATGAGATCTGATGGTTTCATAAGCATCTGGCATTTCCTCTGCTGGCACTCATTTTCTCTTCTGCCTGCCTGTGAAGAGGTGCCTTCCACAATGATTGTAAGTTTCCTGAAGCCTCAAAGCTATACAGAACTGTGAATCAATAAAAGCTCTTTTGTTCATAAATTACCAGTTCTTGGATATTTCTCCATAGTAGCATGAGAATGGACTAATACACTTTCAGAAATAAGACAGGCAGACGAGAATACAGAAAAAAGAATGAAAAGGAATGAACAAAACCTTTGAGAAATATGAGATTATGTAAAAAGACTGAACCAATTACTTATTGGGGTACCTGAAAGGGACGGGAAGAATAGAACCAAGCTGGAAAACATACTTTATGATATCCAGGAGAACTTCCCCACCTAGGAAGATAGAATAACATTCAAATTCAGGAAATCCAGAGAGCCACAGTAACTTACTCCACAAGAAGATCAACCCCAAGACATATAATTATCAAATTATCCAAGGTGTAAATGAAAGAAAAAACATTAAGGGCAGCCAGAGAGAAAGGCCAGATCACCTACAAAGAGAATCCAATCGGACTAAAAGCAAGCCTTTCAGTGGAAACCCTACAAGCCAGAAGAGATTGGGGGCTCATAGTCAACAATCTTACATAAAAGAATTTCCAACCCAGAATTTCATACCCAGTCAAACTAAGCTTCATAACTAAAGGAGAAATAAGATCCTTTTCAGACAAGCAAACCTTGAAGGAATTCATCACCCCTGCCCTGCCCTGCCCTGCAAGAGCTCCTGAAGAAAACACTAAATGTAGAAAGGAAAAACCACCAGCCACTACATAAACACACCAAAGTACTCAGACTAGTGATAACATGAAGCAACTACATAAACAAGTCTGCAAAATAATCAGCTAGCATCATAATGACAGGATCAAATTCACACATAACAATATTAACCTTAAATGTAAATAGTTCAAATGCCCCAATTAAAAGACACAGAATGGCAAGCTGTATAGAGTCAAGCCACATCAGTGTGCTGTCTGCAAGAGACAAATCTCACATGCAAAGCCACACATAGCCTCAATATAAAAGGATGGAGGAATGTTTACCAAGCAAGTAAGAAAACAGAAAAAAGCAGGGGTTGCAATCGTAGTTTATGACACAACACAACATTTTAAACAAACAAAGATCAAAAAAGACAAAGAAGGGAATTACATAATTGTAAAGGGTTCAATTCTCCAAAAAGAGCTAACTATCGTACATATATATGCACCCAATACAGGAGCACATAGATTCATAAAACAAGTTCTTAGAGACCTTAAAGATTTAGACTCCTACACAATAATTGTGGGAGGCTTTAACCTCCCACTGATAATGTTAGACAGATCATCGAGACAGGAAATTAACAAACATATTCAGGACCTGAACTGAGCTCTGGATCAAGTGGACCTGATAGATATCTACAGAACTCTCCACCCCAAAACAACAGATATATGTTTTTCTCATTGCCACATGAAACTTACTTTAAATTGATTTCTTAATTGGAAGCAAAACACCCCCTCAGCAAATGCAAAAGAACTGAAATCATAACAAACAGTTTTGCAGACCACCACACAATCAAATTAGAATTCAAGATTAAGAAACATATCCCAACCGCACAACTACATGGAAATTGAATAACCTGCTCCTAAATGACTCCTGGGTAAATAATGAAATTAAGGCAAAAATCAAGAAGTTCTTTGAAACTAATAAGAACAATAAGGCAACATACCAAAATTTCTGGGTTGCAGCTAAAGCAGTGTTCAGAGGGAAATTTATAGCACTATATGACCACACCAAAAACCTAGAAAGATCTCAAGTCAATAACCTAACATCACAACTAAAAGAACTAGAGAACCAAGAGCAAACAAACTCCAAAGCTAGCAGAAGACAATAAATAACCAAAATCAGAGCATACCCAAAGGAGCTAGAGATAAGAAAAACCCTTTAAAAAAATCAGTGAATCCAGGAACTGGCTTTTGAAAAAAATAATTAAGTAGTTAGACTGCTAGCTAGAATCAAAAAGAAGAAAAGAGAGAAGAATCAAATGGACACAATCAGAAATAAGGGAGAGATCACCACTAACCCCACAGAAATACAAATAACCATCACAGAATACTATAAACACCTCTATGTACATAAACTAGAAAATCCAGAACAAATGAATACATTCCTGGATCCATGCACCCTCCCAAGACTGAACCAGGAAGAAATTGAATCCGTAAATAGATGAATAAGGAGTTCTGAAATTGAGGCAGTACTAAATAGCCTACCAACAAAAAAAGCCCAGGACTAGATGGATTTACAGCTGAATTATACCAGAGGTACAAAGAGAAGCTGGTACAATTTCTACTTAAACTATTCCAAATAATTGAAAACGAAGGACTCTTCCCTAACTCAATTTATGAGGCCAGCATCATCCTACCAATACCTGGCAGAGATACAACAACAACAACAACAAAACTTCAGGCCGGTATCCCTGATGAACACTGATGCAAAAATCTTCCTCAATAAAATACTGGCAAACGGACTTCAGCAGCACATCAAAAAGCTTATCCACCATGATCAAGTTGGCTTCATCCTTGGGATGCAGGTTTGGTTCAACATATACAAATCAATAAATGTAATTTATCACAGAAACAGAACTAAAGACAAAAACCGCATGATTATCTCAATAGATACAGAAAAGGCCTTGAATAAAATTCAATATCCCTCCATGTTAAAAACTCTCAATAAAACAGGTATTGAAGAAATATATCTTAAAACAATAAGAGCCATATCTGACAAACCCATAGCCAATATCATACTGAATAGGCAAAAGCTGGAATCTTTCCCCTTGAAAACCAGCAGAAGACAAGGATGCCCTCTCTCACCACTCTTATTCAACATAGTATTGGAAGTTCTGGCCAGGGTTATCAGGCAAGAGAAAGAAATAAAGTGCATTCAAATAGGAAGAGAGGAAGTCAAATTGTCTTTGTTTGCAGATGGCATGATCCTATATCTACAAAACCCCATCATCTCAGCCCAAAAGCTTCCTAAGCTGATAAGCAACTTCAGCAAAGTCTCAGAATAAAAAATCGACGTGCAGAAATCACAAGCATTCCTATAAACCAACAACAGACAAGCAAAGAGCTTCTAATTCATAATTTGTTATGAATTAACTCCCAATCACAACTGCCACAAAGAGAATAAAATATCTAGGAATACAGCTAACAAGAGAAGTGAAGGACCTCTTCCAGGAGAACTACAAACCATTCCTTAAGGAAATCAAAGAGGACACAAACAAATGCAAAAACATTTTATGCTTATGGGCAGGAAAAATCAATATCATGAAAATAGCCACACTGCCCAAAGTTATTTATAGATTACATTAAACACCATTGACATTCTTCACAGAATTAGAAAAAATAGTATTTTAAAATTTACATGGAACCATGAGAGAGACTGTATAGCCAATTCAATCTTAAGTAAAAAGAACGAAGTTGGAGGCATCACACAACCTGACTTCAAACTACACTACAAGGCTACAGTAACCAAAACAGGATGGTACTGGTATAAAAACAGACACATAGACCAATGAAACAGAATCGAGAACCCAGAATTAAGACCACACACCTACAACTATCTGATCATTGACAAACCTGACAAAAACAAGCAATGGGGATCGGATTGCCTTTTCAACAAATGGTGCTCGGAGAAAAAGCTAGCCATATGCAGGAAGTTGAAACTGGACCCGTTACTTAAAGCTTATATAAAAAATTAACTCAAGGTGGATTAAAGACTTAAATGTAAAACCCAAAACTATAAAAACCCTAGAAAAAAATCCAGGCAATACCATTCAGGACTTAGGCATGGGCAAAGATTTCGTAAAGAAAACACCAAAAGCAATTGCAACAAAAGCAAAAATTGACAAATGGGATATAATTAAACTAAAGAACATCTGCACAGCAAAAGAAACTACCATCAGGGTGAACAGACAACCTACAGAATTGGAGGAAATTTTTGCAATCTATCCATCTGACAAAGGTATAATATCCAGGAAGGAAGTTAAACAAATTTACATGAAAAAAAACAAACAATCCCATAAAAAGTGGGCAAAGGACATGAAGAGACACTTCTTAAAAGAAGAAATCCATGCAGTCAACAAACATATGAAAAAAAGCTTAACATCACTGATCGTTAGAGAAATGCAAATCAAAACCACAATGAGGTACTATCTCATGCCAGTCAGAATGGCAATTATTAAAAAGTCAAGAAATAACAGATGCTGATGGGTTTCCTGAGAAAAAGGAACACTTTTACACTGTTGGAGGGAATGTAATTTAGTTCAACCACTGTGAAAGACAGTGTGGTGATTCCTCAAAAATCTAGAAGCAGAAATACCATTTGACCCATCCCCATGATCGAATTGCCTCCACCCACCAGGTCCTGCCCTTGATATGTGGGGATAATGGGAATTATGGGGATTACAATTCAAGATGAAATTTTGGGCAGGGACACAGCCAAACTATATCATTCCATCCCTGGCCTCTCCCATATCTCATGTCCTCACATTTCATAACATAATCATGCCTTTCCATCAGTACCTCAAAGTCTTAAGTCATTCCAGCATTAACCCAAAAGTCCAAGTCCAAAGTCTCATCTGCGACAAGGCAAGTCTCTTCCACCTATAAGCCTGTAAAATCAAAAGCAAATTAGTTACTTCCTAGATACAATGGGAGTACAGCACTCCAAATGGAGAAATTAGCCAATGAAGGGGCTACAGGCCCCATGTAAGTCTGAAAAACAGCAGGGCAGTCAAATCTTAACATTCTAAAATGATCTCCTTTGACTCCATGTCTCACATCTAGGTCACATTGATGAAACAGGTGGGCTCTCACAGCCTTGGGCAGCTCCACCCCTATGGCTCTGCAGGGTACAGCCACCCTCCCAGCTGCTTCCATGGGTTAACATTGACACATTTTACAAGTTATCAGTGGATCTACCATTCTAGGGTCTGGAGGATGATGGGTCTCTTCTCACAGCTCTACTAGGCAGTGCCCCAGTGGAGACTCTGTGTTGGGGCTCTAACCTCACATTTCCATTCCACATTGCCCTAGTGGAGGTTCTCTATGAGGGCTCCGCTCCTGAAGCAAACTTCTGCCTAGACATCCAGGCATTTCCATACATCCTCTGAAATATAGGTGGAGGTTCCCAAACAAGAATTCTTGACTTTTTTGCACCCACAGGCTCAACATCACATGGAAGCTGCCAAGGCTTGGGGCTTGCACCCTGTGAAGCAATGGCCCAAGCTGTACATTGGCCCCTTTTAGCCATGAGTGGAACTGAAGCATCTGGGATGCCAAGCACCATGTCTCAAGCTGCACAGAGCATGGGGACCCTGGGTCCAGGCCATGTAACCATTTTTCCCTCCTAGGCCTCCAGGTCTGTGATGGGAGGGGCTGCCATGAAGGTCTCTGACATGCCCTGGAGGCATTTTCTCCATTGTCGTGGAAATTAGCATTGTGTGCCTCATTACTTAATCGAATTTCTGCAGCAGGCTTGAATTTCTCCCCAGAAAATGGGTTTTTTCTTTTCTATTGCATCATCAGGCTGCAAATTTTCCAAACGTTTATGTTCTGCTTCCTCTTGAATGCTTTGCTGCTTAGAAATTTCTTCTGCCAGATACCCTAAATCATCTCTTTCAAGTTCAAAGTTCCACAGATCTCTAGGGCAGGGGCAAAATCCCACTAGTACCTTTGCTAAAGCATAGCAAGAGTGGCCATTACTCCAGTTCTGATTATGTAGTTCATCATCTACATCTGAGACCACTTCAGCCTGGACTTCTTTGGTGATATCACTATTAGCATTTTGGTCAAAACCATTCAACATGTTTCTAGGAAGTTCCAAATTTTTCCACATCTTCCTATCTTCTTCTGAGCCCTCCAAAGTGTTCCAACTCCTGCCTGTTACCTGGTTCCAAAATCACTTCCACATTTTCAGGCATTTTTTTCTACAATTTTTAACATCATCTTTGTCATCACTGTTATCACATTCACCTTAATTCAGAATTATTTTGGCTATTTTACCATGAGTAAATTAATGAACAACTGGATCCTCATTAATGTTAAAAACTTCTTCAATATGCACTTCTGGCTTAATTACAGACCCTGAAGGTATATGTTTTCAGGTGTAAGGAGGTTAAAAATTATTTTTTTCTGACTTGACATACAGAATCCTTTAAAGTCATGACCTTGTTTTTATCATCATTGAGCAAAGTCTCAGGCTAGTGGTTGTGGCAGGCATGCACAACTATGTCTTCAATCACTGTATTTCAAGCATTGGCAACAGCAAATATAGTATCCTTTGTACTAAATTCCTTTTGATTACCTTCTGCATTCATGCCTCTGTTCAGTGTTACTAGCATCCTGTTCAAGAAAGTGTTTTATATTTACTCTTATTGATCTAAGGATACCCTTGTCACATGGCTGAAGGAATAAAGTCACATTTGGGGAAAATTGCATGCATACATATTATTTTGTATGAGAATTTCAGCTGGAAGATGAGAAGAATAGTTTTCAAGTAATAAAAAAATCATGCAGTCATCATCTAGTCCAGCTTCCCTGAAGTAAGTACAAGCTGCTGCTACAAAATGTTTATGACACCAGTTAGAAAAGATGTTTCTGGTTAACTATACCTTTTCCCAGCATAATAATAGACTTGTGAGATATTCATTACTTGAAAGTAGCGACTATGCAAGCTTTAGCCTACTACAGCAAGTTTACATTTATGTGTGCCTGCTGCATTAGCACATCCCAGAACAGCTATTCTATCCTTGGCATTCTTAATTCCTGTAGGGGCTGTCTCACCAGCTTTCTTTCTGGGGCAGTAATGCCAAAATGGTGATGTTTCATCAGCATTATAGCCTTGTTCTTCCATCAGATGTTCATCAGTGATGACCTTGACAAACTTGTCAATGAATTCCTTTGTTGATTTGTCATCAGCAGGGGCTTTATCACCACAAAATTTAAATATTTAATACTGTATCTTTTCTTAAATTTCTGCAACCAGCTGGTTGAATATTCACACTCTCCTTCAATTTTCAGTTCCTTATGATAGATCTTTCTTGTTTTATGATCAGCGCACCAATAAGTAGCATATATTCACTGGGAAATGATGAATCCAGTCTTTCAATACATGATCAATATCTCCATTTAAATGTTATGCCTTGTTTTTCTATTTTTCACTAACTTCTGTTCATCACTTTCAGCATAGAGCTTCAACAGTTTATCCTTTTGTTTCTTCAGGTCACATACAATGGTCATTCCAACACTGTACTCTTCTGTAAGATATTTTACTCTTACACCTCCATCTAGTTTGTCCAACATCTTGACTTTCTGTGCTATAGATAAACATTAATGCTTTCTCTTTTTCTCATCACTTTTACCCATAGCTGCAAGTCATTTCTACATTTTCAACAATATCTTTATACTGCAGAGCAGAGAATAAACAAAAAAATAAAGTGTTAATGAAAGTAGGTCTTGGCCCAGTGTATGGCATACTGGGGACCCTGCCATTAGAACTCATGTGAGGTGTCCTCACCAAACACACACAAAAGAAAAAAAAAACAAAGGGACAGAGGAAACTTTTGGAGGTGATAGGTTTATGACCTGGATTGTGGTGATGGTTACATAAGCATATACATATTTCCATTTATATGTTGATTTTATTATACCAATTATACTTCAGTAAAGGTGAAAAGAAAAGGTACAGCTATCACATTAACACTATATATCTACTGCTCACTCTTAGGACTTTACACCATGTGAGTAAAAGCACAAGTATAGAAGGATATATTTAATATTGATAGCAGGTATTTTTTTTGGAGTGACAACATAATTGCATCAAATTAAATAACAATCAGAACTAGATGGTTAAATAAATTTTAGTATATTAATTCCACGTATATGCTTACCTATAAGAAGAAATACTCATTTCTAATGAAAAGAATCTCCTAAATTTCTTTTCTTTCCTTTTACAAAGATAAATGTAAACATTTTAAATCAGGAAAAAAGATATGCAAACATACATTTAATTTTTTATTAAAACACAAACTATATTGATTTCAAAATACCGCTTTTCCATTCTCATATTTCATAAAATAATTTTATGCACTAGAATGATATATTTTTTCCAATGCCTATAATTTTAAAATTAAAGTATAAGTTAAATACAGTAAAATGCAGTTTTTAGCTGGCAATTCTATAAACTTTTCCAAACACCTGAGGAAGAATAACCATAATAGAACCAAGATATTCCTTCATCCCCCTTGATAGTCAAACCCTCCCTAACTTCACCAGTTCAAAGAAATTGATTTGCTTTCTGCTGCTATAGTTTTTAAAAATTATGTTAATGTGGCAAAAAATTTACAATCTTAATCATTTTAAGTGTATTGTTCAGAGATTTTATGTACATTCACACTGTTGTGAAACAGATTCCCAAAACTTTTTCATTTCGAAAATCTGAAATTCTATACCAATTAAACTTCTTTCTTCCTTTCCCTGAAGCCCCTGACAGCCACTATTTTACTTTACTTTTCTGTGAATTCAACTACTTTCTACATGTCTCATGTAAGGGAATCATACAGCATTTGTTTGTTTGTGACTGGTTTATTTTATTTAACATAATGTCTTCAAATTTCATCCATGTTGTAGTATGTGTCAAAATGTCCTTCCTTTTCAAAGCTGAATCATATTTTATTGTGTGTATATATCATATTTTGCTTATTCATTCATTTGTTGATAGTAGGTTGCTTCCACATTTTAGCTATTGTGTGTGAATAATGCTGCTATAAACATGGATGTGCAAATACCTCCTTGACATCCTGCTTTCAATTCTTTTAAGCATATGCCCAGAAACAAAATATATACTTTTTACCATTGTTTATTGTGTTTGTGAGAAAGTATTTTTGAAACTCTATTTTTTTTCCTCAAGGCAAAAATGTCTATTTGCCAACAATTTGTTCCCCACCTCCTTCAAACCAGGTCAGTATTTAGGAGCTCTATAGTCTAAACAACTATTATTTTACCTGTTTAGATTTTTCAAAAATCACGTGCATCATGCTCTCCAACAATTAAACTCGCGAAGTTACCCTTTGGAATCATTTCCAATCTCTAATAAATTTAACCTCTCTTTAAAGTTCCCACAAGACAATTTCTATAAACATCCCAACTAGCACTGATTGCTATAACTCCATGATAAGACATTTTCCCCCAACTACTACTTTGTTCAAAATGAAGTGATTGTTAGAGTATCTATTAGAGCATAGGAATGAACTTGAACCTATCCAAGTATATGTTAACTTTTCCTTACGTGAGGAATAATTTTATATTTCAAACTGATGTAGAATCTACTACATTCATATTAACTTACTGGGAAGAATGTTCATGATCTGCTGTGAATTGAGAGAAGCAAGCTGTAGAAATGTATATGGAAAATATATTCCTTGATTTAAAATCACATAAAATAGCCAATATATAATTATATGAAAATGGAGAAAGCTATGGGAGGACATAATCCAATTACTAATATTGATTTGGAGTTAGCAATATGAAGCAATAAAATATAAAAACAAAAATAATTTAAAATGACACTGGCCACATTTTAAAATAATCAATATTATGACATAATTGTATATAGCAAAACTATAAACACATTTACATATAAACCATAGGTACATTAAAACTGCATGAATGTCTTGCCATCAGACTCTCAGTAGGGATTAACACAGAGAATATAGTGTAAGATATGATTTTAATTCCTTACTCTGAGTATTTGTCACATACAACAAATAACAACAACAACAAAACACATAAAAACAATCTCAGAGCCAAAGTTGTCTCATCTTTAGAACGGTGAAGAGTCCATATATCAGCATAGTAAAAAGATAGAATCAATTTTGTGATGATAAAATAGAGTACATTTCTAACAATAATATTAATGAATGCTTATTCATATGAAAATGTGATGTCATATTGTTAAGTCAGAAAGCATTGTTGAGAGCATTATGTGCCTAGTATTTTCATTTTTGTTAAAAATGTGTATCAAAGCATGCTGTTTTCTTTCTATTCCAACTTTTTTATTTTTTCTAATATTAATAATTTTCTTAAAGAATATGCTAGAAAGAATTAAATAATATGCTAGAAAAATGAGTTTAAGTAGTTTTAAAATAGCATGCAATTCTTATATTTAAAGAATAAAAGAAAATGCAACAAAATGTTACTGTGGTAATTTTGATATAACAAAATACTGCTTACTTTTATTTTCTTCTTTATATTTTTATTATTTGAAAAAATATTCTAGAATTTGTGAATCACTTTGTAATTCATCAAATGTTATTTTATATAAACACACACTTTATACCTATATCATTATCAGAGGTACATTAAGAAAATCTATAATTCACATAAACAACAAAAAAGCTATATGACTGCCTTTCTTTTCCCTTTTCCTGTATTCCTACTCTAATGATCTAAAATAAAGTTGACAAACAATAAAAATATTTTGGAAGCACTTATGCTTAATTTATTTTTTCATACTTTTCTTTCTTTCTCTTTCTCTTTTTTTTCCTTTGGCAAATTATACTATATTTCTGTGTCTTCAATGAATTCTGCTCCTAGAAAATGAGCATTAGATCTACAAGGGGCCAAAGGGTCAATCTCTTATAGAAAAAAATAATGATCAGGGAAAAATTTTCATTATTTCAGAGAACCTAGCAAAACCTAAGAAGAACTTATTTAATTATTAATTAATAAATGCCCATTCTCTGCGAGATCAATATCTCTTCACGTAAAAGACTTATAGGAGCACAGACATGAAGGGACAACTTAGAGGTGAAAATAACCTAGCTTAACCATAGGATTTTTACAAATAAGGTTAGAGCGCCCTGTCAAGCAAATGTTACTTGCTCACACAGTAGATTAGTTACAATGACGAATTAGAGTCCAAGCCTTCTAACTTAAAGTCCATTTTGCTTGTTTATTTTTTTCCAAATGACATGCTCTGTCTTATCATCTGTACTTCCCTACTAAGGTAGGGAATAAAACAGTAATTAAATATTTTGAAATTTCTCATGTCACTATTTTTCCAGTCACTAGGTACATACATTATTCAGTTCAGTTTCCAGTGATTGAAATTAATGTTTAAATGTATATCTATTTAGAATAGACATTATATCTCTTTTATAAAGCTACCTGCCAACCATAGGCTGTTCTGGGATAAATTATTGGGGAAATCCATGGGTTGTTGATCTGTAGGCCATAATATGCAAGGCTGTTTGTTTTAACGAGGAAGAAATGATCTACAAGCATGTTTAGATGCTGTGCAGTGAGCTAAACCAATACATCCTTCTCAAAGAAAAATGAAGAAAAAAATAATCCATCAAAACTACTTGACAGCCACCCCAATCAATGTTCCATGTTTGTTTAATGTAGACACTGTGGCCAGTCCATTCATAATCATCCATTTTCCACAAATAACATGTCCTGACTTTTCCTTTCCCTTTGGTGGGGGATGGAGCTATTAATGTGCAACCTAGGAAAGCCTACTGCTGAGCAGAGCTAATCAGGGGACGTCTTTCTGGAGTCACAGAATTCCGAGCTTGCCATGTCTGATTAAGGTTAATGGTAATCATGGATATTGGTGTCACGTTATTTGTTCTGGAAGGCCGGATATTATTTGTGTAAATAGCACTGTCTAAAGGTTATAATCCAGAGCGTGCATTTAAATTGAGGTGCATTTTTTTTCTGACAAGTTAAAAAAATAAACTTGAAAATATCTATCTCAGGGAAAAGCTTTTTATTCATATTTTCCCCCAATCAAGCCTTTGTGGCAAAATTGCACCCATTTCAAACAAAGAAGCAGAATATGACAAATGCTTTTACTTCTTATTTTCTTGGGTCCCACGGCTGGTGACAAGAAAAGAAAGGGATAAGAGATGTAGAATCTGTTAAAAACATATTTTGCCAGGTGCTGTAGTAAGCGTTTCAAAGATAACAGTTTATTTATTCTTCCTAAATCTGTAATCTAAGCATTGATGTCTTCACCCACAGAATAGACATGAGGGCTTAGAAAGTTCACATAACTTGACAAAACTCTCATAGCTCTGAAATATTACAGCCAAGAGGAGAACAAAGGTCTGTTTAATGCAGATATCTCAGTATTAGAATTGCATGAACTCTTCATTTATATCAGGACAATAGGCTGAGAGGATATCTTGCTTGTTGTGTGGTTTTGGACAAGTCACATCTCTGAGTCCTCGGTTTCATGTTATGACACTTAGTTACCTTAGGTTTAATGTAGTGATACTAAATAATCTGTCTTCTTATCTGTGTGCCATTGAGCCAATTCAAAGAAATTTCCGAGCCTTAAGTTTTTTCTTCTACAAAATGGAGAAAAAGACAGATTCTAACTCATAGGCTTTTTATGGGATCTAAATGAGTTAGCCTATGTAAAACGTGTAAGCGATTTCCTAGAATATTGCACGTCTACATGGGTGTAGTGATTACTGATAAAGTTAGAGGTAATATATGTCAAATGTATCACACAGCAAAAGGAATAAAAGCATTAAAGGGGAGTGAATAGCAGCAATGGCAATAGTCTTAGTAGCAGTAACAGTTGAGTAGCATATTACTATTATCATTAACAATTGATAGGGTAGTCCCAATAAGGGATACAATCTTAATAGCATGTCTGGGGAAGAACTGATCAACATCTGGTGGCGAATTTTGAATAGTGTATAACTTTTCCAGTATATCAATGATCTAAAATTTCTGGATTTACAATGATTCTTTAATAAATCTTTCAATTAGACTTGAGAATGTGACTGTGCCTTAGTTTCCTCTGCATTCTATATCTTTTTTCACTTTACTATCTAGCCGATCTCTCACATATGCAAATTTTATAAATCTTGTCATGTATTTTCTGTGTCTTTCAATAATGTTTCCATTGAATCTTTGAGACTGTTCCTATTCTTCCTAAAATTTGCTGTTGTTTTGTTTGTTTCTGGAAACTATCCCACAGGTTAGATAGAAATACTTTTTTTAAAACCCTAAATGATTAATTGCATTTAAAATACGGTCATATATGGTTTGTCTACTGATTTTATTTTCAAATTTTATTAGGCAAAAAGGAAATTGTGCACAAAGTCTCATATTGGTTTCATCTTGACTGTAATTGCACATGCCAGGCTTCTTTTGAATTTCTGTGCAATTGCCCTGAGTCTTGAAATCTGGAAAGTAGTCCCCACATGTGGATTTAGTTCCCTAATTCACCTTCTGTTCTCCCCTAGAGTAACTTTACAAATCGCTGTCAGACTTGGTTTCCCACTTGCCTTGTGAAACTATTTTATTATAGTGTATAGGTAAAGAAATAAGATGACTGAAATTAAACATCCATATTCTAGTACTAATTGACCTCAATAATCACCAGTAGCAGAGCCCATCCTGTGCTATACATGACTGTTGCAAATGACACCCACCCTCTTTAAGCTCCACTCTCACATTACAATGCAATAAATGCTTTGCCTTTTATTTTTCTGGAATTAAGATCATTGGAAATAAAAATCCAAACCAACATTTGCTTTTCATGTTTTTTTGTAACTCACCTGCCTCATAAGTTCTTATTCTCTCCTATATTCAAATACAAAACATTCTTTTTGGAAAATCATTTAACTTGTTTCTTACTTAATATGGGGATGAAACAACAACTTGTTCCAGAGTGACTCCTGTAAAATGCTAAAATTATACCTTCATTTTCTCCATCTTTATCATGAGCGACACAAGGTCAGAAGTAATCAGGTCCACATATATTTGTGTCTTTCCACAGCATCAGACTTTTATTGATGCTATCTCAATCATAAAAGCCATAAGCTACACGGACTTCCAAAGGAGGAAATTCTCCTTCGTACTTCCCATTTACTCAGTAGTCAGAGCCGTGGGCACACAGGCTCAAGCCATTCCACAAGTTAGTCAATACTGCAAATCGAACATAATAGTATACTTAATCAATATGTAAATATTATAGATTAAGCATTCCAGCACAAATGAAGTAACATTTAACATCAAGAGGAAAAGGATAGGAAAAAGCGTTAATGAACCAGTCCACAGAAAGCAATCTGAGCAAAACAAATATCCTGGTCTGGGCCAGGTGATCTGTCAGTCTTGCAAGGAAGAGTCTTTGAAGTGGGCAGAGGCTTCAGTAGTGGTGGATGCCAGGTGCTTATTACAAGTGATAGCACGACAATGTCTGTTAAGATGGCCGTTCCAAGCTGGTGAAGTCCTGCTTTTTTTATGACCAGAGTCCTCTCGTGAGGACTGATAGTGGAAGAGTATGCTTGCTTATATGCTTATTTGGTTGGATGCAGTCTTTATTGATTAGGCAAAACATCTGTACGCAAGGTGCCTTTTGGAATGTAAGATGGAGTTACTTATGTCAAGGGTGCTCTATACAATACAAAATATCAAGTAAAATACATTTCCAAATCCCCATTAGACTAAAACCCAATGTACCTTCCAAGCTTCCTACATCTTCAATTTATGACTTTAACTTTCATCTTCCTTTCACCACTATGTTTTTCTGTTTAACCAATGATTTGCTTGTTTTTAATTTTAATTTACGATCACTCGATTACACTTAGCATATTCTTTTATTTCTAACTTAGTCCTGGCAATGCTATTATTTTGAGATGGAGTCTCGCTCTGTCGCCCAGGCTGGAGTGCGCTGGCGTGATCTCTGCTCACTGCAACCTCTGCCTCCCGCGTTCAAGCAATTCTCCTGCCTCAGCCTTCTGAGTAGCTGGGATTACCGTTACCCGCCATCATGCCCGGCTAAATTTTTTTTGTTTTTTTAGTAGAGACGGGGTTTCCCCATGTTGGCCAGGTTGGTCTTGAACTCCTGACCTCAGGTGATCTGCCTGACTCGGAAGCCCAAAGTGCTGGGATTACAGGCATGAGCCACCACACCTAGCCCTGGCAATGCTTTTTTTTTTTTTTTTCTTTGAGACGGAGTCTCACTCTGTCGCCCAGGCTGGAGTGGCAGTGATGCGATCTCGGCTCACTGCAAACTCCGCCTCCCGGGTTCACGCCATTCTCCTGCCTCAGCCTCCCCAGTAGCTGGGACTACAGGCGCCCGCCACCACGCTCTGCTAATTTTTTGTATTTTTAGTAGAGACGGGGTTTCACTGCGTTAGCCAAGATGGTCTCCATCTCCTGACCTGGTGATCCGCCCGCCTCAGCCTCCCAAAGTGCTGGGATTACAGGCGTGAGCCACCACGCCCGGCCGGCAATGCTATTTTAAAGGCAATAATGTTGTCGTTTTTATGCAACTTTGAGATCCTTGATTTAACCTTCCTCCTAGACATTCTTTCTTCCCTCAGCTTCCCTCCAACTGCACCAGCTCCCTTCTCTTCTTATTCTAACAACTGTCTAGAGCAGTGATGGCAAGAAAAGTTCACCACCTCCAGAGAAAACTGCTTATATATAATTCAGTCAAAAATACAGACTCACCACTTTCTTGAAAGAGAGAATGTGAAAAACAATTCAATGTTGTTTCACTTGAGAAAAATGGTATAGATCTGCATCATGCGCAATGATTTTAGATTTATGTGAATGCATGAAATAATTTTTAATTATATTGCATTCAGAATATGGAAGATTGAGTATATATGTTTATCTTTTCTCTCTCCCCAGATATCATCGAAATCATGGTAGAGGAATGTCAATCCAAAAGAAAGCAGGGAGAAAACAGCAGACAAAATTGTCCAACAAATTTTTTTTTCAAGATGAAAGGCAGGTAGGTGAAGCATAAACTAAGTGGTTTCCTGGAGAATTCTAACAAGAATAAAAGTAAACATCCCTGAAGAACCACATATAGTGTCAGAATTTTTGTTATCTATTATGGGAGAAAGGAACGTATAGAATAGAGTTCAAAACTGGAGAATAGCTAGAGAAAATGCATTAGTAATATATATTGGTGAAAATAACAAGCAATTTTCCCATCAATACCATGAATTAGGTGATATTATCATTCCTATTTATAGATAAGGGAATTGCAGTCAAATTGGTTAAATAACTTGTTCAGGATTAGACATCAAGTAAGTGGTGGCACTGGGATTCGCACTGAAGCAGCCTGGCTCAAAGCACCATGCTCCTTATTACTGTATTCTACTGCTGTATACAGCACACACACACAAGCAACTTATGAAGCAACACAAAATAGTACGGGTGTATTGTTTAAAAATATAAATGCAAGTAGGAAAAAATACTACAAGAGTTAAAATGATTGCCTCAGGGTGTCAGGCCTAGGTTTTCAGGAGAGGTAGAGTAGGGACTTATTGTTTTACAATATTAGCCTCTTAGTAACATTTTATTTTTACAAAGATAAAAGTTAACCTAAAAAATAAGAAAGGTAAAGGAAATATATTAAAAGCAGAAAAGAAAAAGGAAGGAGTCAAAATGCAGTACAAATTAAAATATTTTTTCAATAAGAAAATTAAAAAGCATATGACTGCTACTGAATCTTGATATACAAGTGAAAGAATTTAAAATAACCAAAAAACCCTGCAAAATACAGATTATCATTAGAGCAAATTAAATAAAAAAGACTTAGAGGTCAGATAAAGAGAATTTAGCAAGTGAGTAGCTGGAATTCTTGCATAGAAGTAATGTTTAAAGAAGCAATAGAAAACACTTTTCCTGAAATGAAGAAAGAAATCTAGAGTAACCATTTAATTTATTCTCCAAATCGGGATACTGTCAAGGGATAGTAACTGGATGGGATGCTGGGTCACTGTCCCTAGAAACAAGGACTTATTTAAGTATAATTTTAACCAGGCTAATTACAAAGGAAATTAATTCAATATAGGACTAATTTCATATGCAAAAATTTGTGAGTTATCACAGAGTTTACAATTTTCTTCATATTTTACATATGTGTGTTTGTGTATGTCTAAATTTATTTAAACTCACAGAGGAAAAGTTACTCAATCTAACAACTCTCTCTATGGTCTAGATATTGTTTATCTTTCTGAGCAAATGTTATCTTGGAACACTGAAGGATTCAGAGTGAACCACCATGTTTCTTACCTGAAATAATACTTGAGTGTTCTCTAACCAAATGACAATTGAGTCTAAACAGAGATAGCAAGATCAGAGCTAAAAAAGGGCAGAGAAAACAATGATGAACAGTGAATTTTTGTGAAGGAGTCTTCTTTCCTTTGGTGTTAGGTTCTCATATGGAAAAAATTCCATTACGGTAAAATTCCTGGCCACTCTCCGGCCTTTTACTCACTCTTCCCCACAGGAGAGGTTTGTGCTAATTCTTGTTAAATGGTGAATATGTTGGTCTTTGTTTCTTGATTACTCCATTAACTGGCATTAAACACTGAACATTCATTTTATTTTAATTCCCTCTCCACTTTGGCCACAGCAGCAATTCTGGATAAATCTTTTGGTTTGCAGACTTCAACATTTTTGGGGGGGTAAAATGTCCAAAGATACACATTGGGGATAGGATGTCCAAAGGCCTAAAGTGCATAAACACATACTTATAAGTACTTATTAATATATATGTATGTAAATGTATATATCTGTAATTTCAACTATCACTTTAGAGCCTGTGCATTGTATTTACGTGTAGTCTGTGGTTTCCAAATGACTTCAATTTTGATAATTCTTTTCCTTAGCTGGTTTGCAGTCAGGTAACATTGACTGACTTTTGTCATTTGTTTTGGCAATATTTTGAGATTCTGTTGCTGAGATTTTATTAGTATTTTTATATATTTTTTGTGTTAGAAGTGTACACACATACACATGCACACACATGAGGCAAAGCTACTACTTTATAATTTGTATCTTTTGCAATTTTATCTTTCTTTTTTCTTTTATGAAATGTATTTACTTCATCTTGATTTCTGCAAGATTTTGTTATATGTATTTCAAATTTAGGTTGTTTGGTTAATACAAGCTCATCTTCTTGAAAAAGAGAAGTCTTTTACTGATTAAAATTGTCTTCTCTTTCACTTTTAATGTTTTTCAGATTCAAATCTATTTGGTCTTTTATTCATATGTATACACCAGCTTCCTTTGTCCTCGTATTTAAAAAATTAGAATTTTTTCTGCAGTTGTCTGTTTTGTATCTTTATTTTCCAAGTTTCTACATAGTTTTTGATTGTTGAGAGAAAATGTTATTTTTAAATGTTTGTTTAAGTGGTTTTAGTTTCACTAAGTGGTTTTAGTTTCCTTCTATTTGTTATGAGTCTTGATATTTTTGGAATTATTTTTCATTCTCATTTTGTGTTTCTAATTGCTGTGCTTGCCCTAAGTCTTTTTCTCCTATAGTGTCTCTATTGGATTCACTAGGTTTGGTTTTATTATTATTATCATTATTATTATAGCATTTTAAGTTATGCATTTCACTGCTTTTTAAAATAGCAGCCAGTACATTTAAAAGCAAAATTTCAAATATATTTTTCTATCATAGTGTAAAAAATATCAGAATTTCCAAACTCCTAAAAAATATAAAAATAATACTCTCTTTATTTCTATTTATATGTATCCCAATTCCCACTGCCATGATTTGCTGCCTAAAATTTTATTTTGATCACTTAAGACATAAAAAGCATTAAAAAGTATGATTGTATGTTGATACTTCTGAAAACAGATAGCGGTTTCACTTGACTAACTCAGGGTCATCTATGTTATCCAAGGTTTATTTCATCTCAAGTATCCAAGATCAATTACATTCTTGTATCATGTCAATTTCTAGAGAGGCAATATTAAATTTTCTCTCTCTTTGCAAATTTTCAGGCTTAAAATAAGATTTTGTTTATATTGTCACTGGAGCAACAGCTGAACATAATTCACAAGTCATACAGAATCATACGAGCTAAGGATAGGAAAAATGTTTATGTTCACACATACAAAAATTTAAATTGGATGACCATGATGAATTTTTGCAAACTATTTTTTATGGAATTAGTTGGGATGAAGTAGTTAGACATAAAAATTGTGAAAGAAAATAAAGCTGCTGTGGAAATGTGACTTTAAAAATGAAAAGATATGAGTCCTGTTTAAAAAATACAATGTATCTCAGATTTACATGTACACACAGCTGATAACTATTTTACTTTCCAAAACAAACCATTCATATGGACTTTATTATTGCAAATACCATTTCAAGATAATTAATAATTACTGGATGAGTAAAAATGGTCGAATACTGCAATAAAATGAGTCCATATTGTTGTTACATAAATTGGCTTGATAAATATAAATACAGTACATATTGGTCTATGTTAGAGGCTGCCATTTTTGAAGAGACAGATGTGCAAACTGGCTATTCTACTTAGTTTGATATTCCCTTGTGTTTCTTGTCTTTACAGCTGGGAATGGTAGCTAAGTAATTATATCAAAAGTAGAAGGGAGGAGAAAGAGGGAAACCGGAAGTATGTTTCCCATCGTCGCTCAAACTCCATGAAGTAACTGTAATCATCCTCATTTTACAAATGAAGAAATTGAGGTCTAAGCCAAGATCAATAGGATGATAATATATTTAATTACCTACCGAAATCTTCACCTACAAGCTCTACCATACACTGTAAGCCCAACCCATTCTGAAGAAATGCTTTAATTTCTGAAACCTAGGTCTGAACTTTGCTAGCAACTTAGGGATCGATGTTGACTTTTGCCTCTTTCTGACATTCCACACTCAACAGTCACCATGTCCTATTGATTTTATTAACTGCAAGCTGCTCACAAATGCCATTTTTTTCATTATTACCACTCTTTATTCAATTTTAGCCCATCTCATTTCATGCTAGAGTTATCGTAATCGTGGAAATATTTTTTCTGCCCTATCTTTAGTCATGCTCCTCTCAAGTCCAGTTTATAATACTTTTAGGAAAGTTTCTCTTAAAAGAAAATCTGAAAGCCCATTATATTATAAAATATCTATTATTTCAAAGAAAATAATGTAAACTATGCAATTTTGGTAAGTGCCATAAAAGAAGACTTGAAAAATGCAGATACATCCAATATTCTTGAATAGAAAAAAGAAATACTCCGAAAATATCAGTTTGCCATTAATGGTTCAAACAAATTATTTAGTAAATTAAGAATTATCTCTTGAATGTAAAATCTTGTCCAAATAATTATAGACTTGGGCTGAATGAAATTTTGAAGAAATACAAAAGGGATATCTCACTGTGTCAGATATGACAACATGTCATAAAATTATCATAATTAGGCCAGGTGCAGTGGCTCATGCCTGTAAACCCAGCACTTTGGGAGGCCTAGGGAAGAGGATCACTTGAGCCCAGGAGTTTGAGAGCAGCCTGGGCAACATAGGGAGACATTTTCTCTACAAAATTAAAAAATTAGCCAGGCAGAGTGGTGCATGCCTGTGGTCCCAGCTACTTGTGGGGGCTGAAGTGGGAGAAACACTTGAGCCCAGAAGGTTGAGGCTGTAGTGAGCTGTGATTGTGCTACTGCGCTCTAGCCCGGGTGATAGAGCAAGACCTCACCTCAAAACAAAACAAAACAAAACAAAACAAAACAAAAACCCTCCAAAAAAAGTAATATCTGTATTTTATTAAATATGTAGAAACAATAAAAAGACCAAAAGCAAAACAAAATCTATAAATACCTGGTTTATAGATTCTGAGCTATTGTATATCATTGATCTTGGAGGAAAAAAAGATGAAGATGCAATAAGTACACCTTCCAATTATTGCAAATATGGGAATTGCCTTATGTACATAGCAGGTCACAGTGGGATATCATTTGTGATGGCATAAATATCATTAAACAGTTGCATCAGAGGAAAAAAAATTGAGAACTACTGATAATGTGTAGGAAAAATAGTATTTCAAATGAATGGGAAAAATCAAAGATAATCTAATAAATGATGCTGAGATATTTAATTATAAATAATATCTATAAAAAGTTAAATTTATGAATTAAAACATTGGGCCACACGGTGGCTCATGCCTGTAATCCCAGCACCTTGGGAGGCCGAGGTGGGTGGAACATTTGAGGTCATGACCAGCCTGGCAAACATGATGAAACTCCATCTCTACTAAAAATACAAAAATTAGCCGGGCAGTAGTGGCATGTGCCTGCAATCCCAGCTACTCAGCAGGCTGAGGCAGGAGAATCGCTTGAGCCTGGGAGGAGGAGGTTGCAGTGTGCCGAGGTCATGCCACAACACTCCAGTCTGGGTGACAGAGTGAGACCTTGTCTTAAAAAAAGAAAAAAAAAAGAGGAAGCATTGAAACATAAAAACCACCAAGATTAGATGAAGATATAAGTTAATCTAAATTTGGAGTGACAGATTACTGTCTTGAAATGAACAGAAGAAAACAGTAACAATCTAAATTATAAAGAAAAAAATAAGAATATATCCATAAATAAAATTGCATAAAATGCATTAGTTATAAAATGCATTATCATAACTTGTTTTTCTTCAAACAAGACAATTCTTTTCATTCTGAAAATTATATAATTCAGAAAAATCTAAAAGAATGTAATTAAAAACATTCATTAAACCGTCATTGCCTTTGTTGGGGGTCAGAGGGTATAGTGCTTTGACATGCTACGTACTTGGAATGGAAGATTAGAAGGCCTCAGCAACAGCCTCAGAAGTAAGGTCTCTCTGACCTTCTCCCACCCTCCTGTCTCCTTCCCTTCTTTCTCCTCAAAGCAATACATAGAAACCAGACTTCCATTTCCCAAGGTGGAACTAGGACCCCTCTCCCAAAGCTAGCTGTAAAAACAAGAGAGGTCACTCTCTCCCTTCTCCCTTGAAGACCCTCATTCCAGAGGGGTCCTGTGACATACGCAGGAGGAAGGAATGCTACACAGAGAGGCCAAGAAGAATCCAGACAGGCCTTGCTGGGTTTCTGGTCTATTACCATTAGATTATACCTTTTTGTCCAATGACATTTCTGCATGACTGTCCATTCTTCATAGAACCTAAGCAGAAAAATAGACAGTTTTCTTGGCTTTTTGGTTCTTCATTTCTGAAGGCTCCTATGTCACGTAAAATGTTAGTTAAATAAGTTTGTTATGCTTTTCTCTTGTTAACATGTCTTTGGTTATAGTGAGTGTCTGCAGTGATCCTTATGGTGGATGAGGAAAGGTATCATGTCTTTTCTTCCCTTACACATTCTATATATAATTCTCAAAACTTTTTCTATACCTTTGCGTACTTCATAGCATATCGAAAAGATTTTGAAACTAGCTTTTACCACATATACACTTTTAATTTTATTATGTCTTTACGTATTTCTCTACATGAGTTTTACAGACCGGGAAATTTTCATTATATATATATGTTTTTATCTGTGTATTCAAACTTTTCCTATCTAAAATTAGCAATGTTGGAACTTATGGTAGGAGCATAGCTGGATGAGTCAGCATTTCTCATTCTCTGCCTAGAAATCATCCAAAAGCAGAATGTAGAATGAAAACCCTGGAAAACCATTTATGGTGAAACTAGGAGACAGATAAAAACGACAGATTTTGCAATACACATAAAGCCTGCCAAAAGTAACTAGATTGGGGGATCCTCTTGAGAGCAAGTGAGGACAAGAAGTACAGAGAGTGAAAAAGTATCATCAAAGTAAAGGCAAATCTGAGCACCAGTATTGCATTCTTCTGATGTCGTGGGCTATTTCAGTGTTGGCACTGTAGCTAGCAGATTTGGTGCCAGTGGTCCCCCTGTACCTCACTTAGTCAAGGGAAGAGGAAGTGTACTTGGTGCTTGGGTTGAATGCCAGCTTTTTGGAAGATCAACCTGGCCATGAGGCTTTCCTCCCTAACCACCATTTACAGAAATGGCAAGCTCAGGAAATTCAATTTCTTCAGTGGCCAGTGATAAAACAGAAACAGCAACAGCATCAATATAAACACAATATGTGAATAAAAATGAACAAAATAGTTTTAAAGCTTTATAACAACAGACTTTTTATTTTAAAAGTATGCCATATAGAAGACATAATTAGATCTAAATATTTTCCCAAGAATATACAAAAAATTTTAGAAGACAATTGCCTTTAGGAAGGAAAGTTGGAAGAGCTAAAATTCAGGGCAGAAATAATGGGTTATCTGGAGAAGATAAAAGATAAACTGTCAAAACTTAGGAAAACAGTAAAAATGAAACCATTCCAGAAAGAAGGAAAAAAAAAAATCACAATGAATGCAAGGGAAAACACACACTGTGGAAAATACAACATGAAACCTATAAAAAAAAGTATGCAAAATGATATGAAAAAGAGTTTAAAACTGCTGGGGAGATGGGGATAGATATAAAAGATAGGCACAGGGGAACTGGCACACAGAAGATACTTTGTCCCTAAGAAGAAAGCCAAAACAGTAGAGGAGAACCAATATTTTTAAATATATTAAAAGAAGCCTTACATCTATATACTTAAAGAGCATACCATGTGGTAGGAAAACTGATGCAGAATAATTTGCCCTGGATGTATCATAATAAATATGCAAACTTTCAGAAATAAAGTAATAATAATTTAGGCAACTAGGAGAAAAGATCATGTTGACCACAAATTTCATTTTTCATTGAATTCTAAGAGATGGTGGTGTAACACCTTCAAGATTCTCAAGGAAATAAAGTTGGTCCAAGTATTTTATAGACAGCCAAGTTGTTTTCCAAGTATAAATGCTATATCTATTTTTTGAACACTTAAGAACTCAGTGAGTATCATTACTGTGAGTCCAATTTGAAGCAACTATAAGAACATAAACTTAAACTAACAAAGAAGTGCCTGGGGAAAGTAAGACAAAGGACCGCAACTAGGAAAATCACTGTCATCTAACCAGCATCATACACAGATGGAATATTTCACCATTGTCATGGGTATCATAGGCATTTTCTCTACAAATATTGAGACACAGTAATTTTACCCATATTATAAATATTCATACATTTCCACAATGCTGTGAAAATTTAACTAATAATTTTTTAAGTATTGAAATCTGTTGATAAAAGTAGTAAATCTAGAAGAGAAAATAATAATGCATTTTGTGTTCTGAAAAAACCATTTGAATGAAATATTAATGTCTCTAGTCAGTTTTAAACAAAATTTATGAAACATTCAGACTGATAAATGTGATAAAATTCGTGGGTTTGAAAGCCTTAGAAGCAACTTCTTTATGACCTGAATCAATATTCCATATTTGCTGGATCATCAAGAAAAGTAATTCATCAAGGCCAAATAACAGAAGGAAGAGACTAGAATTTACTCATTTTTGTTTTAATGTTACACAGGCAGAAAGATGGGCCTCCTCCACCACAGACTAGCTAAGAACACTCCCAAAGAAGAATGCTTTTGAAATATTTATTAAGGTTCCCACGCTACCCCCGCCCACCAAAAGAAGTTGTCAGATTTTAGGAAGAAAGGACAAGTGCAGGTTTTTTTTGTAGTGTTTTATTATGAGAATAAACTTACTGAGCCCCCAGAGAAGAGCTAGAAATGGAGTTGTATGCTTCAGAGGTGAGAGCCTGGGGAGCCAGAAAGAGAATACAGATCTGGAATAGCAGCAAGTCTTTCTTGTAGCCATGTCAATATTTGCTAGAAGAAGAAATATAGCACAGTCCAATTTTGAAACACTGAATGATGGGGTCCGTTGCTATTTCTAGTTACTCTTTGCCCCTGGCCCCCATCCAACTGCATTCCAGCAAATAAACTATGAGGTAGCTATTGCTTTAGGAAAGTAAATTAACAGTAACAAAGAAATAGATTGTGATTTTCAAAAGCTTAGGCTCTGAGAGGATTCATAAAAAAAAAACTCTATAAATCAAAGGTAAGATTATTAAATATTTAGATAAAGTGTCTCCAGAATGGTGTGAGGAGGAGGAAAGATTGAAGAGACACAAAGATTGAGTAGACATTGTAAGTCTTCCTTCCTTTGGGCATTTCCAGAAATTTCAGGTTGATGTTATGCTCCATTTCCCAGAGGTTCTGGGAGAAAGCAAGGACCCAATTGGGGCTAGTCATACAGCAGTTGAGACAAACTGCAAACTTACCCACTCTATGTTTTGGTACAAGATAAGCAGAAATCTCTCTGTGTACCTTCACAGCATGTAGGGCCACAGAAAGATCACCACTTTTCCTGAGGCCACCATAGTATCAGATCAAAAGAATGCTACAGAGTTCTTTGAGCAGTGCAATGGAGTAAACAGAGAGGAATTCAAAACCAAGTGAACTGACAATCAAGATTAAAAGTGACTGAGCCATGCCCCAAGTGAATAGACTGCAAGCCTAAGACCTTTCCAGGTAAAATCCAGCTCAGGCAGGACGGCATAGGAAGAAAGTGACCAGAAGAAAAGGCTTCTTTCCTGATGTCATAGCCTATGTAAGTTTCCACAATTTAAATGCAGTATTAAGCAAAGGAGGAGGGGCTCCAAACTTACGAATTCCAGATTCCTTCCATTGTTCAAAAGTTGTTCCATTATGTGATGAATGTCAAACTGCCTTTTCTATAGGTTAATGATCAAATACGGGCAATTACTCAGGGGTTCACCTAACAGACTGTTCTAGAAAAATAAGGCTACATTTTTTAGACACAATATTGTCAGCTTTTTATTCCACAATAATTATAGACTCAGTCTTGCAAAAAAAGTACATAGTGTCACGAGTCCTTTCCTTTACCCAGCTTCTCTTAGTAATGACAACTTTATATAGCTGCAGTACAATATCAAAACCAGGAATTAAAATGAACGTTTTATTTTTGGTTATTGTGAATACTGCTGCAAACATGAAAGTGCAAATATCTTTTCAAGATCTCAATTTCAATTATTTTGAATAAATATTTGGAAGTGGCATTGCTGGATCATATGGTATTTCTACTTTTATTTTTTTGAGGAGCCTCCATATCGTTCTCCATAGCAGTATTTTACATTCCCACCAACAGTATACAAGATTTCCAGTTTCTCCACATCCTCACCAACATTCGTTATCTTCTTTTCTTTTCAATAATAGCCATCCTAACAGAAGTGAAGTGGAATCTCATTGTGATTTTGATCTGCATTTCCCTGATGATTAGCAATGTGGAGCATCTTTTTATATACCTGTAGGCAATTTGTCTTCATTGGAGAAATGGCTATTCAAGTCTTTCACCCATTTGTTAATCAGGTTATTTTTTTTTCTGCTATTGAATTGAAACAGCTTTATATATATGTTGGATATTAATCCATTTTCAGATACACAGTTTGAAATATTTTTCTCCCATTCTGTAAATCATCTTTTCACTTTGTTGACTATTTCCTATGCTATGCAGAAGCTGTTTAGTTCAATGCAATCCCGTTTGCCCATTTTTTCTTCTGTTGCCTATGCTTTTGGTGTCATATCCAAGAAATCATTGCCAGTCCAATCTCATAAAGTTTATTAGCTATGTTTTCTTCTAGGAATTTTACAGTTTCATGTCTCACATTTAAGTATTGAATCGATTTTGAGTTGATTTTTGCAAAGATCAGTTGCCATATACACCTGAGTTTATTTCTGGGCTGTCCACCCTGTTCTATTGGTCTATATGTCTGTCTTTATGCCAGTACTGTATTATTTTTATAACTAGACATTTATAATATATTTTGAAATCAAGAAGTGTGATGCCTCTGACTTTGCTCTTTTTTTCTCTAGATTGCTTTGTCTGTTCAGGTCTCCTATGGTTCCATACGAATTTCAGAATATTTTTTCCATTTCTGTAAAAAATGCTACTGGGATTTTGATAGAGATTGAAAATAATCTATAACTCTCTTAGTGTAGTATGGCCTTTTTAACAATACTAGTCTTCCATCTATGAACATGGGGTATCTTTCCATTTATTTGTGTCTTCTTTACTTTACTTATGTTTTGTAGTTCTCAATCTACAAGTCTTTTACCTACTTAGTTAACTTATTCCCAAGTATTTTGTCCTTTTTGATGCCATTGTAAGTGAAATTATTTTCTTAATTTTCTTTTGGTTTGTTTTTAGTGTATAAAAACAAAATTATTTTTATATGTGGATTTTATATCCTGCATCTTTATTAAATTTGTTTACTAGTTTTAACAGTTCATTAGTGGAGTATTTAGAATTTTCCTCAAATAAGATCATGTCATCTGAAAACAGAGATAATTTTACCCCTTCCATTCTGATTCGGATGCCTTTTATTTATTTCTTTTGTCCATTTTTTCTGGCTAGGACTTTCAGTACTTTGTTGAATAGAAGAGACGAGAGTGGGCATCTTTGTCTCGTTTCTGACCTTACAGGAAAATTTTTCAGTTTTTCACTATTGAATATGATGTTAGCTGTTGAATTTTTAAATATAGCCTTTATAATGTCGAGGCAACTTACTTTTATTTTTAGTTTGTCGATGGTTTTTATCATGAAAGCATTGAGGTTGGTAAATTGTTTTTTCTGCCTCTGTTGAGATGATCATGCGATTTTTATTCTCCATTCTTTGTTTGTGGTATGTTAAGTTAATTAATTTTCTTATGTTGAACCATCCTTGCATCCAAGGGATAAATCCCATTTGATCATGGTGTGTGATTTTTATAATGTGCCGTTGAATTAGTTTGATAATATTTTGCTGAGGATTTTTGCATCCATGTTTATCAAGAATATTGGCCTGTAGTTTTCTTGTAGTGTCCTTGTGTGGCTTTGATTTTAGGGTAATGCTGGCTTATATTAGGGTAATGCTGGTAATGAGTTTGGAAGTATTTCTTCCTCTTTAATTTTTTGAAAGGTTTGAGAAGGATTAGTGTTAATTCTTCTTTATATATTTACTAGAATTCACTTGTGAAGCCATTTAGTCCTGTGCTTATTTTTTTGTTGAGAGGTCTTGAGTACTGATTCTGTCATATTACTAGTTACAGGCTTCTTCAAATTTGCTATTTCCTAATGTTCCTATGTTTCTAGGGATATATACATTGCTTCTAGATTATGCAATTTATTGATGCACTATTGCCTACAGTAGTTTTATATAAACCTCTCATTTATGATTAAAGAATTTTCTCTCTTTTTTCTGAGTTAGTATAGCTTAATGGCATGTCAATTTTGTTTAACCTTTCAAAAAAACTCTTAGCTTTGTTGATTTTTTTCTATTATTTTTCTATTCTCTGTTTTGTTTATTTCTGCTCTAAGCTGTATAGTTCTTCCCATCTGCTAACTTTGGACTTAGTTTAATTTTATTTTATAGTTCATTAAAGTATAAATTGGGTTGTTTAATTGAGTTCTTTTTTTTTGTAATGTAGCCATTTTTTTAATTACAAATTTTCCTCTTAGCACTGCCTTTGCTGCATCCATAAGTTTTGGTATAATGTTTCTAGTTTTCACTGATCTCAAGATGATTTCTAATTTCCCTTTTGGTTTTTTTCTTTGACTTATTTGCTGTTAAAGAGTGTGTTGTTTAATTTCTACATATTTGTGAATTTTCCAATTTTCCTTCTGCAGGTAATTTCTGATTTTATTCCTTTTGATAGAAAATATTTGGTATGATTTCAGTTTTCTTAAATTTGTTAAGACTTATTTGGTGTCCTAACATGTGACCTACAACAGAGAATGTTCTGTGTGTACTAGAGAATAATATGCATTCTGTGGCTGTTGGGAGGAATATTCTTTAGCTCTGTTCATTTCATTTGTTCTATAGCGTTGTGCAAACACACAGTTTACTCAATGGTTTTCTGTCTGGATATTGTAACCATTATGGAAAGTGAGGAACTGAAGTCTCTCACTGTTGTCATAGTGCTGTCCATTTCTCCCTGCTGTTCTATAAATAATTGCTTTATATATTTAGGTGCTCTGATGTTGAGTGCATATATATTATATGTTACATATATTATTGTTATATCTTTCTATTGAAGTGATCTTTTTATCATTATATAGTGCCCTTCATTTTTTTTGTGACAGTTTTTTAAGTCTTTTTTTTACATAAATATAGCCACCACTGGTCACTTTTGGTTACAACTTGCATAAAATATCCCTACTCTTTTATTTCTCTTCCCCTCACACACATTCTTTATGTTATTGACATCACAATTTACCATTTTATATTGTGCGTTGATTAAATATTTGTACAATTATAATTGTAGGTTGGTATCCACAAGGTGGATACCAAGAACTCCAAGAACTCATATATACAACTGTATGTGGGATCCCTCATAGATACTAAAATCTGTATATCCTCAAGTCCCTTTTAAAAAAATCGCATAGTATTTGTATATAACCTATGCACATCCTGTCATATACTTTAAGCCATCTCCAGACCACTTATAATGCCTAATACTGTGTAAATGCTATGTAAATAATTGTTATCCCTATTGGTTTTTATTTTTGTTATGTTGTACTGTTATTTTTTACTTTTTTCTCCAAGTATTTTTAATCACCAGTTGGTTGAAAGCACAGATATAGAAACTGCAGGAACAGAGGGATGACTGCATAGTTATTTTTTTAAATTTTTGCATTTAACTTTTATATTAGACTTTAAAATTACTTGCCTATTATTGTTACAATACTCCAGTGCTCTGTATTTGTCTATATATTTACCTTTACTGGAAAGATTTATACTTTTATATGCTTCCTGGTTACTGTTTGCCATCCTTTTGTTTCAACTTGAAGAACTTTTTTTTTAGAACTTTTTTCCATCAGCTTTTGTTTGTCCAGAAATTTCTTTATCTATCTTTCAGTTTTGAAGGAAGGGTTTACCATGTATAATATTCTTGGTTAGCCATTTTTCTTTTCAGTATTTTGAATATATTCCCTTCTTGTTTGCAATGTTTCTGCACAGAAATCTGCTGGAAGTTTCCTTGTATGTAATGAGTTGCTTTTCTCTTGCTGCTTTTAAAAATTGTCTCTTTGACTTTTATCAATTTGATTACAATGTGTCTCATGGTGAATTTATTTGAGTTCATCTCATTTGAGATACCTTGAGCTTTCTGGATTTTAATGTCCATTTCTTCCCCAGCTTTCAGGTTTTGACTATTATTTCTTTGAATATGCTCTCTACCTAATTTTGCATTAGGCTTTCATTGTGATGAATAACATCAGTTCATTTTTTTGATTTGTATAATATAATCTGTACATTCTTTTCTAGTTCCTTTGAAGGTTTTCTCTTTGTTTCTATATTAAGTATTTTTAATCATCATATATTTGAGTGAATATATTTTTAGCCTGATTGGGATTTATTGGGTTTTCTGAATCAAAACTGATGTCTTTCACTGGTCATAAAAAATTATTTGCCAATTTTATTTAATGTATTGCACCACCCCTATTTTTCCTCTCTTCACTCTAAAACTACAAATTGGATATACTTTGAATTCAGCACTCTATCCTCTATTATATCAGCTTCTTTTCCTTGCTTTCCATACTTTTGTTTCTTTGTATTTTGTTCTAGATAAATTTGTAATATCTATCTTTTAGTTCATAAATCCTCTCTTCAACTACGTATAGTGTATTAGTCAGGGTTTTATAGAGGGACAAGACTAATAAGATAGATGTATATATAAAAGGGAGCTTATTAAGGAGTATTGACTCACACGATCACAAGGTGAAGTCCCACAATAAGCCATCTGCAAGCTGAGGAGCCAGGAAGCCAGTCCAAGCCCCAAAAACCTCAAAAGTAAAAAAGCCGACAGTGCAGTCTTCAGTCTGTGGCTGAATACCCGAGAGCCACCAGCAAACCACTGGTGTAGGTCCAAGAGTCCAAAAGCTGAAGAACTTGGAGTCCAATGTTCGAGGGCAGGAAGCATCCAGCATGGGAGAAAGATGGAGGCTGGAAGACTTAGCCAGTCTAGTACTTCCATATTCCTCTGCCTGTTATCCAAGCCATGCTGGCAGCTGATTAGATGGTGCCCACCAAGATTGAGGGTGGGTCGGCCTCTCCTAGTCTACTGACTCAAATGTTAATCTCCTTTGGCAACACCCTCACAGACACTCCCAGTAACAATACTTTGCATCCTTCAATTCAATAAAGTTGACACTCAATATTAACCATCACAAGTCCACCCCTAGTCAACTTGAACCCATAATCATCGTAAGTCCATCCTTAGTCAACTTGAACCCATACACATCTCCTGAAATCGTAATACGTAATCGTCAAATAAAGACAGTAATAAGGTTACAATTATACCTAACATAATACAGCTATCCTTCATACAACCAGAAATGCACCAATCCCCAACCCAAATGCTATTACATAAAGTTAACACTTAAATGCTGATATGAACTCCATAAATCTTATGTCACATAATAAAGGAAAAAGAAAGAAAATAAAATGAAGTTGTTTTTTAGTACAAGTGTATATATGCACAAACATGTTCTTAATAAAATGAGAAAGAAAGACTCATGATAATTACAGTCCTCATTTTTGCAACTGGTCATGTGGCCATAGCTGGTATTGATGACTGCCTTCTTCTACTACCCATTCTGTATTCCTTTTGCCTTCAGCAAGCACCTCAGCAGGTTGTGGTTTTTTTACCTGGTAGAGTGACCAAAATCTTCATTACTAAAGGATCTGGGCCATTTGTAGTCCTGCCTGGATTAGGCTGTTGTAGTTTCCCATTGACCTTAATCACAGGGCATGGTAATACTAAGAGATGCCCCAAGGGATCTCCTGTATTCCGAGCGTAATCTTCCTTACCTCCATTGTGGAGTAGTAGACTGATTTCATCTTGATAGTCCAGGTCAATCACCCCTTCCAACACTGTAACTCCCTTCTTACCTTGTTGACTTAGAACTAGGAGAATCCCAAAGTGGCCAGGTGGAATCTTAACTTCCAGTTTAATGGAATCATTGTTGTATTTCCTGGTGGCAGCATTTTTCCCTCTGGAACTAAGACCTCTAGGCCAGCAGAACATAATGTCACAGGAACAGGAAACAAAAATTTTGCTAATGGGTCACTAGGGGTGATGATGAATGGAGGTGATGGTGAGTGGTGCCACTGCCACTTCCACCCTTCGATTCCTGGACCCATGAATTCTGGCTATGGGAGAAACAGTCCCATATATTGGATGCTGATTCAGAGCATACAGCCTTCTGGAGAACTTTGCCCCAGCTCTACAAAGTATTGTCACCTAGTTGGTGTTGTAATTGTGACTTCAAAAGGCCATCCCAGCATTTTATCAATCCAGCTGCTCCAGGATGTTGGGGAACATGGTAAGACCAGTGAATTCCACGAGCTGATTAGATAGTGCCCCCCAAGATTGAGGGCTCTATCTAACGAGCATGAATACACTGCCATACTTCTTTAGCTGTAAAGTGAGTGCCTTGGTCAGAGGGAATGCTGCACACAATACCATGACAGTGGATAAGGCATTCCATGTGTCCACGATGGTAGTCTCGGCAGAAGCATCACATGCAGGATAGGCAGACCCATATCTGGAGTGTCTATTCCAGTGAGAACAAACCACTGTCCTTTCCATGATGGAGGAAGTCCAATATAATCAACCTGCCACCAAATAGCTGGCTGATCACTCTGAGGAATGGTGCAATATTTAGGGCTCAGTATTGGTCTCTGCTGCTGGCAAACTGGGCATTCAGCAGTGACCATAGCCAGGTAGGACTTAGTGAGTGGAAGTCCATGTTGCTGAGTCCATGCATAACGTCTGTCCCTGCCTCCATGCCCACTTTGTTCATGGGGCCACTGGGTGATGACAGGGATGGCTGGAGAAAGAGGCTGTGTGGTGTTCACAGAACAAGTCATCTTATCCACTTGATTATTAAAATTCTCCTCTGCTGAGGTCACCTTTTGGTGAGCACTCACATGAGATACGAATATCTTCACAGTTTGTGACCACTCAGAGAGGTCCATCCACATACCTCTTCCCCGAATTTCTTTGCCACCAATTTTCCAATCATGCTTCTTCCAAGTCCCTGACCATCCAGCCAAACCATTGGCTATTGCTCATTGTATCAGTATATAATCGCGGATCTGGCCATTTCTCTTTCCAAGCAAAATGTACCACGAGGTGCACTGCTAGAAGTTTTCTCTGGCAAAAAAAGCTAGCTCATCAGAATTTAGGATCTCAGTCCCCCAGCTTCATTGGGGTCCTTCCACATGTCCCCATTCCAAGTTGCAGGGTCCTGTTCTTTTTCAATCAATGCCCTCACTTTAACAGTAGACATTTGGCGAGGCTGTGCATGAATCTTTAGTTGCAGGTCAGCCATTTTCATGATAAGAGCTTGTGTCTGATTTTCCATACTTTCAACTCTTTCTCTACAGGAGATAAGACTCTCACTCAGGGCAATCTTAGAAGATTTGAGCCTCAGTATGTGCTTCTGGAGTTGGGGGATAGAATCTCTGAGTTCATCATTTTCTTTTACCACTTTATCTAGTGAACTTAGCAGCAACCAACCAACTTCATTATATTCCTTGGTTCTCCACATATGGTCAAAGATATTATGTATAGAGTCAATAAACTCCTTGCCTCTCAAGAGCAGTGAATCAGGAGTATCAAATGCATTTATTTTGCAAAAGTGTCTAAACAGTTCATGCCAAGGACTATCAGTGTTCTCCAAACTATTAGAAGTACAGTCCTTAGCATTTTGGGGCATAATCATATAGAGCAGCAAATGCCAGAAACCCAAACCTAACTAAAGAACTCCATCCTTAAAACTCTGTTCCCCTAGAACCACTCCAGGTACCAAAATCTGTATTAGTCAGAGTTCTCTAGAGGGACAGGACTGATAGGATAGATGTGTATATGAAAGGAAGTTCACTAAGGAGTATTGACTCACATGATCACAAGGTGAAGTTCCACAATAGGCTGTCTGCAAGGTGAGGTGCAAGGAAGCCAGACCGAGCCCCAAAACCTCAAAACTAGGGAAGCCAACAGTTCAGCCTTCAGTCTGAGGCTGAAGGCCCAAGAGCTCCTGGAAAACCACTGGTTTAGGTCCAAGAGTCCAAAAGCTGAAGAACTTGGAGTCTAATGTTTGAGGGCAGAAAGCATCAGCACAAGAGAAAGATGGAGGCCGGAAGACTTAGCCAATCTAGTCCTTCCATGTTTCTCCGCCTACTTTTACCCTAGCCACACTGGCAGCTGATTAGATAGTGCCCCCCCAGATTGAGGGTGGGTCTGCCTCTCCTAGTCTACTGACTCAAATGTTAATCTCCTTTGGCAACACCCTCAGAAACACACCCAGGAACAATTCAGTCCAATCAAGTTGACACTCAATATTAACCATCACATATAGTCTGCTTTTTTTTTTTTTTTGAGACAGTCTCACCCTCTTGCCCAGGCTGGAGTGCAGTGATGCGATGTCAGCTCACTGCAACCTCCGCCTCCCAGGTTCAAGCAATTATCCAGCCTCAGCCTCCCAAGTAGTTGGGACTACAGGCATGCACCACCACACCCAGCTAATATTTGTATTTTCAGTCGAAATGGGGTTTCACCATGTTGGCCATGCTGGTCTAGAACTCCTGACCTCAAATGATCCAACTGCCTTGGCCTCCTAAAGTGCTAAGATTACAGGCATGAGCCATCACGCCCAGCCTATATG